>NC_000004.12:137709259-138012290 GCF_000001405.40 Homo sapiens
CCATTTATTCAAGAGGGCATTTTTCCCCAATGTGTGTTTTTGGTACATTTGTAGAAATCAGTTGGCTGTAAATATGTGGATTTATTTCTGGATTCTCTATTCTGTTATTCTGTTCCATTGTTCTCTGTGTTTGTTTTTATAGCAATACCATGCTGGGTTATTTGTTTGTATTTTAGTTTTTTTTAACTATGGCCTCATAATAGATTTTAAAATAAATTCAAGTAGTGTGATGCCTTTAGCTTTGTTCTTATTGCTCAGGACTTCTTTGGCTACGAAAGCTCTTTAGTAGTTCCATGAAAATTTAAGATTATTTTTCTGTTTCTATGAAAAATGACATTGATATTTTGATAAGAATCGTATTGAATCTGGCTGTTGTTTTGGGTAGTATGGTCATTTTAATGCTATTAAATCATGTGATCCATGATCACGGTTATGTCCTTCCATTTGTTTGTGTCCCCTTCATTTCTTTCATCAGAGTTTTGTAGTTTTCCTTGTAGAGGAAAACTTTCACCTCTTTGGTTAAACTTATTTCCAGTTTTTTTTTTTTGGAGCTATTGCAAATGGAATTGCCTTCTTGATTTCTTTCCCAGCTATTTTGTTATTGGTGTATAGAAATGCTATCAATTTTTACATGCTGATATTTTATCCTGTATCTTTACTGCATTTATTAATCTTATATAAGTGTTTTTTGGCAGAGTCTTTAGGTTTTTCTACATGTATTATCTCATCATCAGCAAAGAAGTACAATTTGATTTCTTATTTTCCAAATTATATGCCTTTTATTTCTTTCCTTTGTTTGATTGCTGTGGCTAGGACTTCCAGTACCATGTTAAATAGGAGTGGTGATAGTAAGCATCTTTGTCCTGTTCCAGTTCTTAGGGGAGGCTTTCATCTTTTTCCTATTCAGTATATGGCTTTGTCACATATTATGGGCTTTATTATGATGAGATACATTCTTTCTGTAAGTAGGTTGTTGAGAGTTTTTATCATGATGAGATGTTGAACTTTATCAATTGCTTTTTCTGTGTCTATTGAGATGATAATTTGATTTTTGTCGTTCATTCTGTTCACATGATGTATCATGTTTATTGATTTGCATATGTTGAATCATTCTTGCATTTGTGGGATAAACTATATTTGATCATATATTTTTTAATGTGCTGTTGAATTTGGTTCACTAGTATTTCATTGAAAATATTTGCATTTATATTTATTAGAGATATTGTCCTGTAGTTTTATTTTTTGTTGTGCCCTTGTTTGGTTTTGGTATCAGGGTACTGCTTGCCTAGTAATATGAGTTAGGAAGAATTCCCTCCTCTTCAATTTTTTAAGAATAGCTTATGAAGAATTGGTAGTAGTTCTTCTTTGGAAATACGGGGGAATTTTTTGAATTTGCTTTCACAGGGAGGACTTTTTTCCTAAGATCTGTGTATGTGTTGGTTGGGTAGGGCTCTTTGGCTTTGATTTTGTGTGTGTGCAGTAGTGTAGTTTCTGTATGATTTCTTTGGCTATAAACAGTGCCAGTAGTGTTTGTGCTTTCCTCGATTTCTTAGGGTGCAGTTGTGAGTGAAAGTGTTATGAAGTTTTGCTGAGGACTGGGATGCCAGATGGGCCAGGCTTTGGACCTTAATAGGGACAGCTGTGGCAGACGCTGGCACGGGTATTAGTGGGTAAAATGGGGCTGATTCTTGGGCATCCAGGTGGCTTCTTCATGTACTGGGAATGGCAGCAATGGGCCAGGTAGGTGAGCAGGTTCTTGAGCCCCTGGGCAGTGGGTGTGACATGGGTGATAGCAATAGCAGTGGTGGGACAATCTGCTGGGACCCAAGCTTTTGTGCTTGTGTTGGTGTTGGCTACAGTGGGCTTGGTAGGCCAGTCCCAGACCCACAGATGGCATGGATGGGTGCCACTTCTCGTGGCAGCAACATGTTTAGTGGGCCTGACCTCAGATCTCACAAGAAGTGCTCAGGTGCCAACAGTGGTTTATTGGGTTGGGCAATCCTCAGGCCCCTGAACTGAGTGCTCAGGTAATGGGGTGAGAGTGTCACCGAGCCAGTCAGACCTACCCTCTGGCCTCCCAGTTATGTATACCATCACTGGCTGTGGTAGGCAGGGGCAGGGCGATCCCCAGACCACCTGCAAAATGCTCATATGAGGGCTGCTGTGATTGCATTGTGACTCTGCTACAGTGGAGGATGGGGTTGCTTTCAATGGGAGCAGCCATATACAGGCAGCCAGGGGCATGAGCTTCACTTCCACCTCAGTTCCATAGCAGCCCACTATGGCAGCAGTTGCAGGTAGGTGCATTTGTCCTCAGGGCATTTGCATATGCATGGCTGCCCCTCTGCTGAGCAGTGCAGGGTCAATGCTCATGGTTCCTGCAGTGGCCCTCATGGCAGCAGCTGTGAGGAAGGAATGTTACTAAAGCTCCAGAGATATTGAGATGCAGAAGCTATTGATCTGCATGACAGGACACAGTCTTGTGGAGGCTGGGCTCTCAAAATGGCACCATGCTGCAGCTGCTCGAGAGTAAGGTGTTTGTAGAAACCAGCATGACCTCTGTCTCTGGATCAATTCCATTGCACGGTCTCCAGGCAGCTCTCTATGTTAGTCTTAGAGCCTGCAAGTGCTGAGAAGCTCTCTTATAACTAGGACTGTAGGAGTTTGTGGGCAGGAATGCGGACCACTGTGGGTGTCTCACTTATCGTGTCCCAAAATTAAGGAACTTCTTCAGATTCCCAGCTGATCCTGGTCTGGAGTCAGTAGTAAGTTTAATTCAGGAGGTAATATGACAAAAATTTTAACCTGACAGAAGATTCAGATGAAATGAAGAGGAGAAGAAAGGCAATTAAGAAGGTCATAGTAATTTTAATAAAAAATATATACATTATTATTATTTAGAATTTTATAAATAAACGTTTTTTGGTATCAATCTTGTTGTGGTATAAGAAGTCCATTGATTATTGACTTGATGTCAGAGACCATTATGTGCTTATTTGCAGCATTAGGATGACAGTGGTTCCACCAGAGCTCAAGGGATGGTGATAAAAGCATTAGTCCAAAGAAACACTAGTATGGTAGAAAATGAGAAAGGTGGGGCCACAGCCATATTTAGATCACCGTTAATTTCACTGCTGCTCTTAAGTGAGGCTTGTGTGAAGTTTTCTTCTGTGTGCTTTTGTTTTTGTTTTTTGGTAAACTATTTTCCAACACCAAAAGTGAGAAAACAGTTGCTGTTTTCTCCATCTGCTCACTAAATTCTTCCTAGCTTTTCCCCATTCTATGACAACACAGCAGATCTCTTTATGAAGATATCACATGCAATTATTTCTATCAATTTCATTGATTTTTTATGTGGGCCCATATTAATGAGATATATCACTAGTTTGAAAACCTGCTTGGTAGAATATTCAGATTCATTGTTTTGATTATTTCTGCCCCTTTGCTCCTTTGAATGTTCCTGCCCAGTTATGACAGTAAGAAGTGGTCACTAAAATGAAATTCTATAGAGATTCCTTGTATTGTTATTAAGGGGCTATATTAAAATAAATGTTTTTGAGTGTGGCTGATTGTTCTTTTATAGCATGCACATTTATGACCACCTTGGGAACCAGTAGCACTGCAACATATGTTTACAGGGTCTTAAAAGCTTTCAGAAGGCCAGAATGACAGTGATTCAATGAAAGTCCATTATCAACATTTCAGAGCTTGTCATGTTGCCTTAATGAGAAAAGAATGATTAATTTTACTTCCCTTTTTCCTCAATAGATGAAATGAGGAATCAGACATCCAAATGATTAGCTCATGTATACTTACATGTAGTGGTGACATACAAACTTATTTATATAAAAGAATGGCAATTACTTCATTGGTATGTGTTATGAATGTATATTGATATAGGCTTATTACTTCAACTCAAAAGTAAATGAATATTCTACTAAAAATTAGTATCTGAATACATCAAGGGAGAATATATTAACAATATGTATTAAAATGATACAAGGGACAGAATATAAATATGGGAGTGAAGGTATCTTGTTGCCAATAGTCACTATCATTAAATATGCATATTTTGGAAAATTATTTAACTTCCTAGAACAATGTAATTCTCAACTGTCAACAGGTGTGATTAGAATAGGTCAACATGTTAAAATTATGTTACAACAATTAAATAATTATGCTGAATATAAATATTTATTAAGGAACAAATACAACTACTTGTTGTATTTGACAACTATTATGTTAGTTGTCAATCTGTTTTTTTAATAAAAAAATAAAAAGATTTCTTTACTGCAGAAATTCCCAGTGAGTTTGATATATTTAGATACTTCAATAAGTATTTGTTTATTGTGAATACCAAATAGGGTGGTTTTTTTTTTAATTATTTATTTATTATTATTTTTTTTTTTTTTTTGAGACAGAATCTTGTTCTGTCGCCCAGGCTGGAGTGCAGTGGCGTGATCTCAGCTCATTGCAACCTCCACCTCCTGGGTTCAAGAGATTCTCCTGCCTCAGCCTCCTGAGTAGCTGGAATTGCAGGCTAATTTTTGTATTTTTAGTAGAGAAAGGGTTTCAGCATGTTGGCCAGGCTGGTCTAGACCTCCTGACCTCAGGTGTTCTCCCCACCTCAGCCTCCCAAAGTGCTGGGATTACAGGTGTGAGCCACTATGACTGGCCAGGGTGGTTTTTACATGGGGTATAACATCAATATAACTTCACAGGCTTATTTGATTATTCTACAATGTGTAACTTGTTATGGTGCACACTCTAGAAAATATCTAGACCATACTCTTACATTTTACATTTAAATAATACTGTAAAATCTTTAGTACTATCTTTTCTCTGCCCGATAAAGAAGGCTTTCAAGTGATATGCCTTTCTCAAGGGGATCTGTCTAGTCTCTGAGTATTTCAAAGTATTTTTTTCCAGCAAGTTATGAGTGAAGATCTGGTGGACTAATCAAAGCTTAATGTATTTAAACAGCAACAAAAATAAAATAAAATGAAACAAAAAAATCAGAATTTTAAAGTAAGAGTATTATATTGTTTATCATAATAATACCACATTAAGAGCCTCTAATAATGATTTTGAGAATATTCTTTATATTACTTTAATTTGACTTTAGTTTCTCCTTTTATTGACAAGTTAATTTTTGTACTTCTTATTTTTTTGTATTTCTTGTTAACTTGATTTCAATGTTCTGTGATTAAAACTGGCCTTAGGGTTCAATATTAGTGTTTTACAGTGGATAGCCAGTCAGACATGAACAGGGCAGGAGAAGGTCCCCAGAGCCCACAAGGAAAGTCAGGTGACCATCAGATAATGGTCAGGAAGTTGTCACACTGCCTTTCTAAAATAGTAATTGGTTGTAGCCAACATCAGAGAAAGGCAGTCTCCCATTAAATAGAAAAAAACCAGAAACTGGTGATCTCAGGGGGTGGGTGAGTGGGCTCACACATGTGCACTAAGAGGTCAAATGGTGTACTTTAACTGGCATATGACCTTTCAGGGTCATTCCACAGGGAAAGGGAAGAACGCCTCAGGTGAGCATGCATACATCTCCAGTAAACACACTGCACATGCTCCCCTCCCAAGCATTAGCAGGCCATTGTAAATGCAAACAACCCATCCCAAGGGAAGAATCGGGGAGAAGGGATGCAAGATTCCAAAAGTAGGCCAACATGTAAAACCCGAAGTCCAAGGTCAAACAGGGCACTTGACCTCCAAGATGCCCTCGTGGCCTTCTTCCAAGCGTACTTTACTTTCTTTCCATTCCTGCTCTAAAACCTTTCAATAAATTTCCACTCCTGCTCTAAAACTTGCCTTGATCTCTTTTTCTGCCTTATGCCCCTCAGTCAAAATCTTTCTTCTAAGGAGGCAAGAACTGAGGTTGCTGCAGACCCATATGGATATGCCTCCAGTAACTTGAATAACTTCCACTGCTAACAAGTGAGCATCTAATTCTACAACTTTAGGTGACACACTCACAGATACCTTCCCTGTCCCAACAGATTAGGTAAGGCCCTCTGCTTATATGATCCTATATCACCCTCATTGGTCATCACGTACAAATACATACACACATGAAGTGTATGTATGTGTGTTTGTGATCACTTGGTTAATTTTGGTTATGTGATTAATTTATCCTGCTTACCCTGTTCTCAGATTATAAACCGAATGAGGGCAAACTTTAGTCTGCTTGACTCAATTCTACTTTTGTGAGGTCTAGCACCACGCCTTACCCATAGTAATTGCTAAACAAACAAAAGTTGAATGCTGAATTTCAAAGACACTTAGGTAATAGACTTCAATACATACAAATTCGCACTTAGAAAGAATTGCTCAAATTTAGCATACAGATAGAAGCTATCTGTCTCTTATTTTAATGAATAAATTTAGTTTAAAAATGTTGACCTTTATGCAAATAAAGTTGTTCCTTCAAAAATAATGTTTTAAAAAGTAATTAACCATTCTTACCTTAGATGAGAAATAAGTATATGAGAAGAGTATGGAATTAGAGAGACTAGGGACAGGAGGCAGGAAGCAGGAAAATGATAAATAATGGATATTTATCTTTAAATAAATTCTACCACCAATTTTTTGTGTCTGAATCTGGCTCTGGATTCATAATTCTCTAACAATTATCTATTTTTAAAAACCTGAAATATATTTTCTTGTTATTTTAAAAGTGGGCAACGTCATCATTAATTTTAATGACAGTATGTTTTCTAAGAGCAGCTAAGTCACTTTCTTGATGATGGCAAATCAATAGGAAATGGGAAGTCAACTAAGGTCTCAGAACACCTTCATGCAATTAGTGAGGATTCTGCCCAGATTCATTATAAAACAAATGGCCAAAATATACACAGAAAAAATGTATCCTCATCTGTATAGAACATAGTTTGTTTTAAAAGTGTAACCATTTTCATTAAATGAAACAAAAAATATAAGATAATTATGTAGAAAACCTTACCTCAAAGCAGTATAAATGTTGAGCTGTTAAATGTATATTGTGAATCTGAAATTATAGTTCCCACAGTGACCATAACCCAGCTGTCAGGTAAATATGTAGGAGTTTGTGATATTTTATACAATGCAATGCTGTGTGCCATAGAACAAAATAATGTTGCTTACCAGTGGCTTTCAGAGTTATTTTAGTTTGCAAGTTTAAAGTTTATACCACCATTGTCTGAAATAATTTGTTTTTAATAATAAATTCAGTTATATTTTGTTGTATGAAAATAATTTTTTGCCATTAAACTGCCCAATGAGAAGGATAAGACAAACAAGTAGAATAGGTCATAAGTTCCTACTAACTTTTTATTGAAATTAATATTTTATTACTCTCTAGCTTACTGCCAAAACAAAACCCAAGTTTAATTTCATACCGTGCACCTATAATGTGCAAGCAATTGTGTTACTTACTATAGGAAATGAAAAGATGAATACATGACAAATGTGGCTGTCTTAGGAACTAATGCTCTGGGAATTATAATCAAGTAGCCAAATAAAATGGTTACACGTCTAAAACAAGGGAGCCTTAGGTAAGGGTGTTAAGAGAGCTGTAAAGGAAGCCATGATCACATCTACTTAGGGGCTCAGAAAAAGCTAGATTTAGAGGGTAGGTTGATCTGAGTATATAGGGATTAGTGAAATTTCATCTAAGTGCTTAATAGATACATTACTTCACTCTAGCACTGCAGCAACATGTGCGTAGATCTGGAAAACAGTGTTTAATAATGGAGCGGGTCTTGTCAGGAGTGTTTGTGTATCACTCTGGCTTCTATGGAATAAGATTTTAACAGGTTTCTAGGAAAAAATGTGAAACAATTTTGTGTAGGGGTGAATATGCAATATGGATAGAATTGACAGTACACTATAATTTTTTGTTTGTGTGTAGATAATACACATATACACATATATGATATATGTGAGTATTATGTTTATGTACATGTATGTTTATATGAGATACAACATATATCTATATAGTTTGTGTTATATATTTTGAACATAATATATTTTTGTATAGGAATATATGATTGAAATTACTTTTGTAGGTCAAAACATATTTAAAGCTTAATTTAACTTCAATATTTCTTTAAAAATCTGCTTTATAAAACAAATTATTGTAAAAAAAACTCTTTCCCACAGAAACATTATTAAAATTAGAGGCTGATGCCAATATTTTATACAAAGATATTTGTATAAAATATCTATATAAAAAGCTAGATATTTAAAGAAAAAAAAGGATGTTTTTATAAAATTGAAGGTAATGAATGATGTCCTAGGTTCCAGAACATTGGTATGAGTGTGTTCCTTTATAAAGAATCTCAACTTACAAGAAGAAGAGTGACTATAAAAGTCTACTGAAGGAACATGCTCTCAAGAGAGTAAAACTGAAGCACTGTATACTGGATGGCTTACACAACAGATGTTTATTCTCACAATTCTGGAGCCCGGGTAGTCCAAGATTAAGGTGCTGGCCTACTAGGGTCTTCCTGTTGAAGGCTCGCTTCCTGGCTTTCAGAGGCCTACCTTTTGGCTCACGTGACAGAGCAGGATTTCTCTCTTTCTCTTCAAATAAAGCCATGACTTTCTCCATGAGTGCCCTACCCTCATAACTTCAGCTAACCCTAAACTTCACAAAGGCTTCATCACCAAATACCATCATATTGGAGGTTAGGCTTTGTGTTAGGCCATTCTTGAGTTGCTATAAAGAAATATCTGAGACTGGGTAATTTATAAACCAAAGAGGTTTAATTGGATCACAATTCCGCAGATTTTACAGGAAGCATGGTGCTAGCATCCGCTCAGCTTCTGGGGAGGCCTCAGGAAGCTTACAATCATGCCAGAAGTTGAAGGAGAAGCAGGCACCTTACATGGAAGGAGTAGGAGCAAGAGAAAGAGTCCAGCGGGTAGTGGGAAGTGCCCCACACTTTTAAATGACTAGATCTTATGAGAACTCACTGTCACAAAGATGGCACCCAGCAATGAAGGATCTGCCTCTGTCATCCAGACACCTACCACCAGGCCTCACCTCCAGCACTGGAGATTATAATTCAACATGAGATTTGGGTAGGGACAAATATCCAAACTGTATTAGGCTTCACATATAAATTTTGGGGAGTCTACAACTCAGTCCACAGCAGAGGTAAAGGTAGATTTTTTCTTCAAGTATCAGGACCTTTCCTAAAATATCTGGAGTGTTAAAAACTTAAAAAGGTTCACCTTATAAGAAAACTTGGGTAACCAAAGACAAAATTAAAGTATTTTTTTCTAGAGTCTAGAACAATAGCTATGATGACTACTCTTAACTATCTATTGGCCTTAATGTATCAAAATGTGACTAGGAAGTTCATTTTTAGCTGCTCTGCCCTGATATGCAAAATCTGTATATTTAACATTTTAAAAATTGTATCTCCAGTTGATTGCTGCAGGCAATTTAGATTAGCTTGTATCAAACTAAACCTCCAGCTGAGATTAGCTATGAAAGCTAGCTTTTTTTTTTTTTTTTTTTAAGTGAGGGCATTGGAAAACAACAAAGGCATCCAGGAAGGAAAGAACTTGAGGGATCAGTATCCCTGGGAAAAAAGAAATCAAAGAGAAATGAGTCTAACTTTCTGCATGCAAATATCTCTCTAGGCATTGGCCAAACGCTGTGTATGTGGAGGACAAGAGCATAAAAGCAAGAAGAAATCACTTACTAAGAGGCTAAAGAAGCTAAATAGAGTTGTCGTTGATCTTTTTTTTTTTTTTTTAATAATTGCATACTCCTAGACAGACAACACCTGAAATTCAGGGCTCAACAACAAAAAAGGGATTTTGTAAACATCACCAGTTCTCAGTGAGATACTTGACATTTCTATGGCTAAGGCATAATTCACTTAGAGACTTTGAAAATGTTTTCTGTGTTCTATTTCCTACATATATGTATATCTAGAACATTAGAGCACCAGCAGTTCTATTCATATTACACTAAGAGTAATTTTTAAACTGTTTTCTAACAATTTAACCATGAGAACTCTGTTCACAAATGTCTCACTTCTCCATTAACACATTCAAGAAAAACTCATACTTAACATAATTTATCACAACCACGTATATGTTGCTGTTAGAGTTTTCAAAATAGTATGATTTGAGTACCAAAAATATGTCAAAATACTTTAAATAATTGATCAAACCTTTATTTGACAAATATTCATGGCTGCCATATTTTTCAAAAGACTTCTAGACAGATTTTGTCTATATGAATTCAGCAATTACAACTTTTGCAAATGTAAGTGTTTGAATCTTTAAACTAATGGCAAAATAATAACTTTTAGTTACTTTTCAAACATGTATTCTGAAAAGAGCAATTTATCAATGGTGACACAGTGGTTGTTTAGTTCTTTTAATAAAAAGTAGATTTTTAAAGAATATTAGCAACTATTTCCTTGGATCCTAATATTATGACTAGATTCATGCTAACATAAACTCTTCTTTAGACAATATAAAATGTCTAATTGTAGCACTAGAATCTAGTAGATATGATATGGTTTGGATTTGTGTCCTCACCCAAATCTCATGTCGAATTATAATCCCCAGTGTTGAAGGAGGGGCCTGGTGGGAGGTGATTGGATCATGGGAGTGGATTTCCCACTTGCTGTTCTCATTATAGTGAGTGAGTGCTCTTGAGATCTGGTTGTTTAACAGTGTATAGCACCTCACCCCTCTCTCTTTTCCTCCTTCTTAGGCCATGTAAAATGTGCCTGCTTCCCCTAGACATGCATACCTTCTGTCATGATTGTAAGTTTCCTAAAGCCTCCCCAGTCATGCTTCCTATGCAGCCTGTGGAACCGTGAGCCAACTAAACCTCTCTCCTTTATAAATTACCCAGTCTGAAGTAGTTCTTTATAGCAATAAAAGAATGAACTAATACAAGATATCAGGCAATTTTTGTTCTATTATTTACCTGTATAAATGCTTATTAAATATCTATAACACAAAAAAATGCTTGGCATTATGAAGATACAAAATAATACTTGATGACCCTCTTCTTCCAGCATGATTTACTGGTGTAAAATTTGTTCTCAAAATGACTCCAGAGATTTTTTAAAAGCTATAATAAAACAGGACAAGAAGCTACTGTATAAGTTGTTTATATTAAATCCTCACAAAACGCTTGTGAGATAGGTATTTTGCATGCCAATTTGAAAAAAAAAATGTGTATCCTGAGACTTTATAGTAACAAAAACATTCACAAAGCGATTTGGTTGGAACACACTTAACCATAACAACCATACTACCTGACAAAGTAAATACAATAATAGCAAAAATAAGATAATGATTTTATAAGGGTGGATATTTCTATTTGGTGCCTATTGGATTTCTGCTAATACATTCAAGATTATTTGAATCTTCACTTCCATAATCAACCACACTCAGACAACCCAGGTTACACAAATCTTAGCAAAGATCTGATCATCTTGAAAAAGCAGAAGAACAGCTGGCCTGTCTTCATGACTGTCACCATGTACGTGGATGCATTCAACAATGTACTTATTAATTTAAACGAGAGAAACCTTCACTTAAATTAGAGTAACCCAGGAATATTATATGTGAGATATTATTGTAATTCATAGCAAAACACACGCATCATTGTGAAATTGAGTGAGTCTTAATGCCAGATTTGAGCTCTAAGTTCAAGTGTTTAATCAGTGATTATTTTCTTATTCTTATAATAAAATTAAAACTATGTAGAACAAAAGTTTCACTGCTTCATTTTAGCAAGTCACAATGCAGAATCATAGGCATAACCCAGCGTTGCATGAGAACATCCCTCCTTTTCAAAATCAAATGGTCTGTGACTCTTTTTGGAGGGTGAGAGACACAGTCACCAAGAGTAAGCTGCCTAACACACATTTATTGTACCATTTATTGACATTTTAAAATGAATTAGTTCAGGTGTAATGACTCCCACTTAAAAATAATCTCTATGCTATAGAGAAATTTTCAGTAACAAGTTATATCTGCCTTTTGTATTCTTGTTAGAATCTTCAAATATGTATTCAAACTGTTTAGTGGTGATTTTTTTTAAGTTGCTTTCTCTGTCTAGAAAAATCCTCTCCTAAGGGTTTCAAAAACATAAAGATAGTAGAAATAAGAAACAGAAAATTACCGAAAATGAATAAATTGGAACCAGAGTAAATTTTGGCAAGCATTTGACCACAAAGGTCTTGACAGATAGAAAGTTCACTATATTTGACATTTAAACAAGCAGTCAATATTTAAAGAGAAGATATTTTCCTTGTTTTTGAGAAATTGATTTCAAGAGAAAATAAATTGTTAAGAACTCCAGCTACCTGAAGTTCAAATCTATGTGCATTTCAAAGCCTTCTCAAGGAACACAGGTATCAGTTACCCTCATATAGATTAAAAAGTGTAACTACAGTAGAAATGAAAAATAATTATCTTTACTTTCAGGTCCAATGTAAATGTGAAAAAGTTTTGTTCTTATGGATAACTCTCAGAAGGTAACTAATGCCAACATTGTGAATTATTGTAGAATATATCTAGGTATGAGCAAAACAAAATGAACAAAATAAAAAACGTTGATTCTTTTCTCACTAATAAAATAATCATTGACATGTGTGCAGTCTTTGATATGGCTTATTGATAAGAAGCTATTATGTATATAATATTCTCCTTAAGAAAATTTTCTTGTCTAGATTTTATAGCAAAAGGAAAAACATTTTCTACTTTGTGATCCTAACACTCAAGATGCATGTTATTTTCAAGGTAGCCCTAAAAGAATCAGTAAAGATCAATTCAGAGAATTTTTTTTCCTCGACTACCTGAGTAACTTTTTGAGCTTCTAGGATTTCCAAATGATTTAAATAATGAAGACTTAATCTCTAAGTTCTTTATGCACTTTAAAAATCACATTTTTTATAGTACAGTTGCTACACCTGTGCATAATCAGGTTTTTCAGTTTCCTTTTTAGAAGTTCTCCCTACCTTTCCTTAAATATGCAAGTTCACCAGGTGTTTGGAATGTCGTAGCAGAGTTATGAAATCTTAATGGTGCTTTTCCCCTCTGTCCTTTTGAACTAACTTCATCTGTGCTATAACAGACTTGTGGGTAGTCTGTTATAGCATTTGTCAGGTTCACAGTAAACTAAAATGTCATTCATTTACTTCAAACATCTCTATATTTGAGCAAAAAGAAATGAAAAGACATAATTGTCCCTCAGCCACATGGTTTTAATTTTCATCTTAAAAAAAAAAAGGAACTGTAGTCTGTTTGCTGTATTTTTTTCCCCCCATCATTGGGTCTCTCTGATTTTCCTTTTTATGTTCAGTAGGGACTTTTTTTTAAAGCATTTTAACAAGCAACAGATTTAAAACGTATTTAATTTTTTTAATTATACTTCAAGTTCTAGGGTACATGTGCACAATGTGCAGAAAAAGAAACATATTTAAAAATATATCAAGTTCATAAACCAAAATTGGAGTGAACTTTTTAAAAGTTGTCCTAAAAAGGAAAGTAACATTATCTATAAGGAATAGCCTTTTTTTGTTCAGATACCAATTTCCCTGTATCCCTTAGTCGACCAGCTAGAAATTTCCATTAAAGAAGATGAATGTTACAGATAAGAAAGAACATGATCTACAGATTTGTGCCAGTAATGGGAAAGAGAGATGAGATAAAAGGTGATTTAATGATACCTGAGCGTTAATCTGTGTAAATTATAAAAATATCTATGGTGAAGATACAATTAATAGAGAACTGAAGGAGAACATGATACCAGTAGTTACATTCTTTGTCACTGTTTAGTAGGAGTTTTGAATATTTACTCATTCCTTCCTTTATAAATCTCTGTTTAAAATATGCATCATCACATAAAAATATTTGTAAAGAAGTAAGGGGATCTGGGGAAGGTAGGCAATGGTAGTTTACAGAAGGAAACCATGAAGAATAGATAAGTGTAGTGATACAGGAAGGTTTTGAAAAATCTTTCAGAGGGATTATGAGAAGCAAGGAGTCAAAATATTTATTCCAAAAAGATTTTCTGAGCATCTGACAAGGTATGGTGTATATCGAGTATATGAAGGGATCCAAGTAAAAGTCTCAATCCTAACTATCAAGGAGCTTCTAACCCATTTGAGGTATAAGATAACAATAGCTTCAGAAAGCCCTAATGATATGGGTAAATCTCCCCAATAAAATATTGAATGAGAGAAGCCAGATACAAAAAAATGACTTAGATAGCAGTGGTTTAATTAACATAAAAGCTTAAAATAGGCAAAACCAATCTTTCTTTTAGAAAGTTGGAAGAGTGGATGCCCTTGGTGGAGGTTGTTATAGAAGATGGCACAAGAGGGGCCCTGGGGTATTAGCTGTATTCTGTTTCTTGATCTGGGTATTGGGTTCAGAGTTATGTGCATTTTGAGAGAATTAATCAAGGTATACATTTATTATGTGCTCGGAGATTTTTGTTCTGTATATTACATTTTTAAAAATGTATTGAGAAGAACCAAAATTAGTTTGGGATTAAGCATCTCATTTAAAGGAAATTTTTAAAAGAACATTTTGAGCAAATTGTTAAAGTGCTAAATGGTGAGGAAAGGCTGAAAGTTATTTTTGGTTGAAAAAGTAGGGAATTATTTCCTTAGAGGCAGGATATATGCAAGAAACTTGAGTAATAAAAACTATAATAATTATAATAATGACAGTAACAAAAATGACTATTATCATTTTTACTATTAGTTGGACACATCTAAGCAGTTTACCTCAATGAATTTAACCCTTACAATTATACTCTGCTCTAGGTATTATATTTATCTACATTTTAAAAATGCAAAAATTGAGATCCAGAGTGAAGTAACTTACCTTGGTAAAATAGGGTGGAATAAATAACCATATATATTTAACAGAATAAACATAGATCCTGTGAAACTATACAAGGTAGGATAAAAACCTGGAATAGTCAGGAGGCTATGTTCATACTTAAGTAAGCATATCTTGAGATATGCTCTGATATATCTCAGCTATATCACGAGACACTGAATAACTGTGTGGAAAACGGCTTCAAATTGTGCCTCCGGAGGCTGGAGGCTGGCTTTCCCATCATCCATTGGGTGAGATTTGTCCTGGTGAGCTAGAAAGTCTTCAGCTAGTAAAGACAAAGGAAAATGCTTAATGTGGGAAGCTTTGAGGGTGTGAGGGGCTGTGCACAGCATCCTGTTAACTCAAGTGGACTAACTATTAGGGTGGACTTTCAAGAGTGTCTGCTACGGTACCTCCCAACAATCCAGAGAGATCTCAGCACACGTATTCTGTCCAATAGCATCATCCTTTCCTGGCTTGAAAAGCCCAGGAGATTGAAAGTAACTTCAGCCTGACCTGTTTCACCCAAATACTACTTAGGTCCTGCTCCTCCTTCCAAAATGCATCCCCCCAAATCACTCAAGTTTCAACCATTTCTTATCCTTATGAAAAACAATGAAATACAAAACAAAACAAAGCTTTGTAAACTCTCCTTTATGAGATGTTATTTGAAACTCTGTTCTCAGTATTTCTTTCCCCTGCCAGGCAACAATATGAATAAATTCAGCTTGTTTATTTGACACAGATTTTCCAGGTGATATTTGTGGCAGAGTGAATGAGCCCAGGCCTCCCTTTCTCTCTCTCTGAAATATATTCCATTCTTTAAATGTGCTTTTTTCTTTTTCATTTGACCAACTGTAATTGTTGCAATTACTGTCTAACTGTTATTGCCACTAACAATTCTCCTATAATCTCCTTATTCTTGTGTACTTACCAGTTGGATTCCTAATATTTTATTATTCCTGTGTACAAATTCTTCATTTTAAATAATGTTACCTTTTTATAATGCATTTGGCCCAAGTATACTTAGTTTATTGTTTGCTTTTTAATTTTTTCTTTACTATTTGATATAGAAAATTATTACTTTAATTTTGTTTTAGCTATCAATATGTCCTTTTGTTGTTTTGTTATGTCTAAATTTTTTTCTAAAATTTAGAAAGTTCTCTTTTCTTTTCTTGGCATATATGTAGTTTATTGTAGATTTTCACAATTTTGTCAGTTTTTCATCAAACTTTTTACTATCTTTGATTTATAAAAATTGTATGGAATACTTAAATGCATTCTATCTTAAAAAATAGGTAGGTATAGTCAGTTAAATGTTCAATTCTCCAGTACAACTATCCTTAATGTTTCTCAAATATTACTATTATCATAGGCAATCACAAAATTTTGATGTTTATTGTTTTCTAACATGTTATGAAATAATAGACATACAGAGTTCTGCTTTTGGTTTATTTACCATAAATAAGCTTATATCTTACATATTGTTCTGTCATTAGTTTTCTTACTTACAAAAATACTTTGAAACTTATTCTGTGTCAATATACAGAAATCTACCTTGTTTTTTGACTTTCTGCAATTGTACAGATGCACTATAATTTATTTAACCCCATACTGATGATGGAAACCTAGTTTCTTATAATTATTTTTACATTTATCAATAATTAAATTTTTATGTATATTTCCGTAGAACATAAATTTTGTAGGGTAGATGTTTAGAAATGGAATTGCTAGGTCAACATATTTGAACATGTGTAATTAAGTTTACTACATACTGCTAAATTGTTCACTAAAAGGGTGGCTGGTATTATAAAATGTTATAACAATTTATAATATTAGCAATGCAGAAGCATGTTTACTTCTTATGATTAATTTGTTAATATCTGGGTGAGAAAAAATTGGCATCTCAATGTTGCTTTATTTAAATTTCCCTGAATAATTATGTTAGGTTATACTTTAGCAAATGTAGTGGCTTGTGTCATTTTTTACTCTGAGAGTAAGCTGTTTATCTTTTTAAAAAATGTTAATTGATTTGTAGAAGACTTTTCAACATTGAATATCATAGCACATATAATAGAGAATTATTTATGTAGCCACATGAATTATCTTTTCTGAAATTTTTGCATTTTGTATTTACGTAGAAAGCCTTCATGCAAAACTCTCTTTCTAAATTATATTTCTCTGATCAAATATGTTTGGATATGTCCTTTAATATATATATATATTTATGTATATTAAACCATACAGATAATTCTAAATGAACTGAAGGTAATTGTGAATCCATCTGGAATATTCTAAACAGTTTGAATAACTAATAGGACATTAATTGAATAACTTACAGTTTTCCTACTGGTTTGCAATTATACTTTTTTTTTTGAGACAGAGTTTTGATGGAGAGCAATGGCACGGTCTGGGCTCACTGCAACCTCTGCCTCCCGGGTTCAAGTGATTCTCTTGCCTCAGCCTCCCGAGTAGCTGGGATTACAGGCATGTGCCACCATGCCTGGCTAATTTTTTGTATTTTTATTAGAGATGGGGTTTCTCCATGTTTTTCAGGCTGGTCTCGAACTCCCGACCTCAGGTGATCCACCTGCCTCGGCCTTCCAAAATGCTGAGATTACAGGCGTGAGCCACTGCACCTGGCCTGCAGTTCTACTATTAACATTAAGTAAAATATCAGACATAGAGAAGTTGGTTTATAGGATTTTATTCTAGGTTCCTTTGTTTATTACAATTATTTGCACTTTAAATTCCTATATATAATTTCACAAAAATCTCTATTTAATTTTTAAATTTAATTATGAGTACAAAATAGTTGTATATACTTATTGGGGATATGCATGATGCTGGCATACATTGTGTAATGATCAAATCAGGGTAACTGGAGTATCCATCACCTCCAGCTTTTATCATTTCTTTGTTTTAGGACTATTCCAATTCTACTCTTTTAGTTATTTTAAAATATACAATAAATTATTGTTAATTACAGTTACCCTATTGTGCTACTGAATACTTGATATTCATTCTATCTAACTCTATTTTGCACCCATTAGTACAAGAGTACCCATTGTACTCCTTATCCCTCACCCTTCCCTATTACACTTCCCAGACTCTGGTAACCATCATTCTACTCTCTGTCTCCAAGAACTCATTTTTTTTTATATAACTCCCACATATAAGGGAGAATACAAAATATTTGTCTTTCTGTCTCTGGGTTATTTTACTTAAAATAATATCCTTCAGTTTCATCCATGGTGTTGCAAAAGACAAGGTTTCATTTTTTATGGCTGAATAATATTCCATTGTATGTATGTACCACATTTTCTTTATCTATTGATGAACACTTAGGTTGCTTTCATATCTTGGCTATTGTGAATAGTGCTGCAATAAACATAAGAGTGCAGATATCTCTTTGACATTCTGTTTCCTTTCTTTTGGATATATACCCAGTGATGGGATTAATGGATAATATGTTAGTTCTATTTTAAGTTTTTTGGGGAATATCTATACTGTTCTCCATGGTGGTTGTACTAATTTACATTTCTACCAACAATGTAGGAGTCTGTCTCCATATCCTTGCTAGCATTCATTATTATCTTTTTGACAAAAGCCATTTTAGTTGGAATGAGATATCTCTTTGTCGTTTTGATTTGTTCCTATGATGATTAGTGATGTTGAGAATTTTTTTAAATACCTGTTGGCTATTTGTATATCTTCTTTTGATAAATGTCTATTTAGATCTTTTATTCGTTTTTAAATTGAATTATTTGGTTTTTTTCCTATTTAGTTGTTTGTGTGCTTTATATATTCTAGTTATTAATCCCTTGTCAGATAAGTAATTTGCAAATATTTTCTCCCATTCTGGAGGTTGTCGCCTCACTTTATTAATTGCTTCCTTTGCTGTACAGAAGCATTTCCACATAATGTGATCCCATTTGTCCATTTTTGCTTTGGCTGCCTGTGCTTTTGGGGTCTTACTCAGGAAATATTTGCCCAGATCAAAGTCCTGGATTGTTTCCCCAAAATTTTCTACTGGTAATTTTATAGTTTTCAGTCTTAAATTTTTAATCAATTTTGATTTGATTTTCATACACAGGGAGAGATAGGAATCTAGTTTCATTCTTCTGCATATGGGTATCCAGTTTTCCCAGCATCATTTACTGAAGACATTGTTCTTTTCCCAGTGTATGTTCTTGGCAGCTTTGTTGAAAATGAGCTGATTATAAATCAATCTTGTCCAACCTGTGGCCTGAGAGCTACATGTGGCCCAGGACAGCTTTGAATGCAGCCCAACACAAATTCATAAACTTTCTTAAAACATTATGAGATTTTTTTTTTTTTTTTAGCTAATCAGCTATCATTAATGTTAGTGTATTTTATGTGTGCAGCCCAAGGCAATTCTTCTTCTTCCAATGTGGCCTGGGGAAGCTGAAAGATTAGACACCTCTGCAATGCATGAATTTATTTCTGGGTTCTCTATTCTGTTCCATTGGCCTATGTGTCTGTGTTTAGGCCAGGAGCATACTGTTTTGGTTACTATAGCTTTTGTACTATAATTTATAATAAGGTTATGTCATGCTTCCAGTTTTGTTCCTTTTGCACAGTATGTCTTTGGCTACTCTTGGTCTTTGTAGTTCCATATAAATTTTAGGATTGTTTTTTATATTTCTATGAAGAATGTCACCAGTATTTTGACAGGGATTGAAATCAATGTGTAGATTGCATTGGGTAATATTGACATCTTAACAATGTTGATTCTCCCAACCCAGAATATGGAATACCTGGAATTCCAATGGAATACCTTTCCATTTTTTTGTGTGCCCTCTTCAATTTTTTTCATCACTGTTTTATAGTTTTTATGGTAGAGATCTTTCAGATTCACTTTGGTTAAATTTACTCTTAGGTATTAATTTTATTTGTAGCCATTGTAAATGAGATTACTTTCTTGGTTCCCTTTTTAGATTGTTTGCTATTGGCATATAAAAATGCTACTGATTTTTGTATGTTGATTTTGTAACCTGAAATCCTACTGAATTCACTTATCAGTTCTAATGGTTTTTTTGTGGAATCTTAAGGTTTTTATAAATATGAGAACATATTGCCTGCAAACAAGGATAATTTGATTTCTTCCCTTCCAACCTGGATGCCCTTTATTCTACTCTCTTGTCAAATTGCTCTGGCTAGGACTTCCAGCACTAAGTTGAATAAAAGCAGTGAAAGTGGGCTTCTTTGTCTTGTTCCAGATCTTAGAGGAAATGTTTTCCTATTTTTCCCATTCAGCTGTGGGTTGGTCATATTTGGCTTTTATTGTGTTGAGGTATGTTTCTTCTACACTCAGTCCTTTGAGAATTTTTGTCATGAAGAGATATTGAATTCTATCAAATACTTTTTGGCACCAATTGAAATGATCATACAGTTTTTGTCTTTCATTTTGTTGATATGATGTATCCCATTTATTGATGGGTGTGTGTTGAACCATCCTTGTGTTCCTGAAATGAATCCCACTTGATCACAAATGATCTTTTTAGTGTTGTTAAATTTGGTTTGCTAGTATTTTGTTGAGGATTTTTGCATCTGTTTTCATCAGAGATACTGTCCTGTATTTTTCTTTTAAGCTGTGTCTTCTACTGGTTTTGGTATCAAGGTAATACTGACCTCAGAATTAGTTTGGATATATTCTCTCCTGTATTTTTGGAATAGTTTGAGTAAGATTAGTATTAGTTCTTTCTTAAATGTTTCATCAAATTCAGCAGTAAAGTAATCAGTTCCTGGGTGTTTCTTTGATGGGAGGCATTTAATTACTGCTTCTATCTCATTACAATCTTGGTAGGTTGTATGTGTCGAGTTTTTCTATTTCTTCTAAGTTTTCCAACTTATTTGCAAAATGTTGATTATAATAGTCTCTAATAATCTTTTGAATTTCTGAGGTGTTAATTATAATGGCTTTTTTTCATCTCGGATTTTATTGATCTGAGTGGCCTATCTATTTTGATCTGGCTAAAGCTTTGTTCATTTTGTTTATTTTTTTCAAAAACTCAACATTTTATTTCATTTACATTTTGAGTTTTTAAGCCTCATTCACAATTACTTCTGCTCTGATCTTTATTATTACTTTTTATTCTCTATTTTTGGTTGGTTTGCTTTTCTAGTTCATTGAGATATATTATTAGGTTGTTTATTTGAACTTTTTCAACTTTATTGATATAGGCAGTTAGTGCTATAAAATTCCCTCTTAACAGTGCTTTTGCTGTATCCCATAGGTTTGACATGTTGTGTTTACATTTTCACTCCTTTCAGGAAGTCTTTAGTTTTCTTCCTCTTCTTCTGTCTCTCTCTTTTTTTTTTTTTTTTTAAATGGGATAGGGAACAGGGTTTCACTCCCATCATCCAGGCTGGATTGTAATGGCACGATCTCAGCTCAAAGCAACCTCTGCCTCCCAGGCTCAAATGATTCTCATGCCTCAGCCTCCTCAGCCTCCTGAAATCCGTATTGTTTAATTTCCATGTGTTTGTATAATTTCCAAAGCTTTTCTTGTTATTGATTTTTAGTTTTGCTCCATTGTGGTTAGAAAAGATACTCAGTATAATTTTAATTATCTGAATTATTTAAGACACATTTTTGGACCTAACATGGTCTATAATTAAGAATATTCCATGTGCTGAGAAGAAGAATGTGTATTCTGCAGCCATTGGATAAAATGCTCTGTAAATATTTATGAGGTTCATTTCGTCCATACTGCAGATAGAGTCAGATTTTTTGTTGATTTTCTGTCTGGATGATCTGCCCAATGCTGAAAGTGAGGTGTTGAAGTTCCTAGCCATGATTATATTGGGGTCTATTTCTCTCTTTAGGTGTAATAATATTTCCTTTATATATTTGAGTGCTAACGTGTTGAGTGCATATATATTTACAATTATTATACCCTCTCACTGAATTGATTGCTTTATCATTCCATAATGACCCTGTCTCTTTTTACAATTTTTATCTTGGAATCTATTTTATTTGATATAAGTATAGCTATGCCTGCTCTTTTTTGGTTTCTATTTTCATAAAACATCTTTTTCCATCCTTCTACTTTTAGTCTTCTTTTGTTTTAACCTATAAAGATGAAATAAATTTCTTGTAAACAGCATATAGGCAAGTCTTGTTTTTTTATTCATTTGGCCACTTTACATCTTCTGGTTTGAGAATTTAGTCCATTTACATTCAATGCCATTATTGATAGATAAAATTTATTACTGTCATTTTATTTGTTTTCTGGTTGTTTCATTGTTTCTCGTTGTCTTCCGTCCTTTTTCTTGCTTCCTTTATTTCTTCTTTCCTTCCTTCTTGCCTCCTTTCTTTCCTTCCTTCCTGTCTTCCTTTTTATAGAAGTGATTTTCTGTGAGAGTATGTTTTAATTTCTTCCTTTCTGTGTATTGTGTATCTGTTACAGGTTTTTGTTTTGTGGTTGCCATGAGGCTTGCAAAAAATATATTATAACAAATTACTTCAAACAGATGATAACTTAACTCTGATTATAAAGAAAGGAAAACAAGCAAAGAAGCAAAGAGAACACTAAAAAAAGTCTACTCTTTAATTCCATTCACCCTTCTTTTTGACGTTTGATCGTTTCTATATGTATCTTTTCATACTCTCTATATCTTAAAAAGTTGTAATTATTATTTTTGATAGGTTTGCCTTTTATTTATTTACTTTTTTTACTAAAGATATAAGTGGTTTGTTTACACACCACAATTACAGTGTTAGGATAGTCTGTCTTTTTTGTATACTTACTACTACCAGGGAGATTTCTATATTCAGATGATTTCTTTTTGTTAATTAGCATCATTTTCTTTCTGATTGAAGAACTCCCTTTAGCATTTTTTATAAGACAGGTCTGGTGTTGAAATCCCTCAGCTTTTATTTGTCTGGGAAAGCCTATTTCTCCTTCATGTTTTAAGGATCATTTTGCTGGACATAATGTTCTAGGTTGGATTTTATTTCCCCTGCACTCTTAATATGTCATCCCACTCTCTCTTCACCTGTAAAGTTTCCACTGATAAGACTACTACCAGACATATGGGAGCTCTTCTATATGGCATTTCCTTATTTTCTTTTAAAGCTTTTAGTGTCCATTCTTTATCCTTGACCTTTGACGGTTTTATTATTTTATGGCTTGAGGTGGTTTTATCTCGGTTGAACCTGCTTGATGTTCTATAAACTTACAGGACACAAATATTCATCTCTCTCTCTAGGCTTGGAAAGTTCTCTGTTATTATTTCTTTGAATAAATTTTCTACTTTGATCTCTCTCTCACTCTCTCCAATTTCTATAAAGCCAATCACTCTTAGATTTTCCCCTTTGAGGCTTTTTTTCTAGATCTTGTAGTTGTGTGTCTTTATTTTTTTTTCTTTTCTGTCTGTGTATTTTCATATAGCCTGTCTTCAAGTTTGCTATTTCTTTATGCTTAGTCAATTCTGCTTTTAGGAGACTGATGTATTTTTCAGTTTGTCAATTGAATTTTTAGTTCCAGAATTTCTGCTTGATTTTTAAAAATTATTATTCCAGTCTTTTTGTTGTGTTTCTCTGATAGAATTCTAAATTCTCTGTGTTATTTTCAAGTTCACTGACCTTCCTATAGACAGCTATTTTGAATTCTCTGTCTGAAAGGTCACATATCTCTAACACTCTAAGATTGGTCACTGGTGCTTTTATTTGGAGATGTCATGTTTCCTTTCAAATTCTTTTTTGTTTTGTTTTTTGAAACGGAATCTCACTCTGTCGCCCAGGCTGGAGTGCAGTGGCGTGATCTCGGCTCACTGCAAGCTCCGCCTCCTGGGTTCACGCCATTCTCCTGCCTCAGCCTCGCGAGTAGCTGGGACTACAGGTGCCCGCCACCACGCCCGGCTAATTTTTTTTGTATTTTTAGTAGAGATGGGGTTTCACCGTGTTAGCCAGGATGGTCTCCATCTCCTGACCTCGTGATCCGCCCGTCTCGGCCTCCCAAAGTGCTGGGATTACAGGCGTGAGCCACCGCGCCCGGCCTCCTTTCATATTCTTAATGCTTGTGGACATTTGTCAAGGTCTAGGCATTGAAGAGATAGGTATTTATTTTGATCTTGAGAGTCTGGGCTTGTTTGTACTGGTCCTTGAAAAGGCTTTCCATGTGTTTAGAAGGGGTTGAGTGCTGTGATCTAAGCCCGTGGTCATTGCATCCATATCAGCACTAGGGGGCTCCCTAAGCTCAGGAATGCTGCACCCTTAAGGGACTCCTAGAGGGAGCGGCAGGCTTGAGTAAGATAAGAAAGAAAATTCGTGAAGCCTTCCGTATTTTTTGGAAACCATCATCCTCAGCAAACTAACACAGGAACAGAAAACCAAACATCGCATGTTCTCACTCATAAGTGGGAGTTGAACAATGAGAACACATGGACACAGGGAGGTGAACATTATGAGAGCTGCTGGCAGTCCTCACAGCCCTCGCTCGCTCTCGGCGCCTCCTCTGCCTGGGCTCCCACTTTGGCGGCACTTGAGGAGCCCTTCAGCCCGCCGATGCACAGTGGGAGCCCCTTTCTGGGCTGGCCAAGGCCGGAGCCCACTCCCTTAGCTTGCAGGAAGGTGTGAAGGGAGAGGCGCCAGCGGGAGCCAGGGCTGCGCGCGGCGCTTGCCGGCCAGCTGGAGTTCTGGGTGGGCGTGAGCTTGGCGGCCCCGCACTCGAAGCAGCTGGTCCGCCCTGCAGGCCCTGGGCAATAAGGGGCTTAGCATCCGGGCCAGCGGCTGCGGAGGGTGTACTGGGTCTCCCAGCAGTGCCAGCCCGCCGGCGCTGCGCTCGATTTCTCACCGGGCCTTAGCTGCCTTCCCGTGGGGCAGGGCTCCGGACCTGCAGCCCGCCATGCCTAAGCCTCCCACCCCCTCCATGGGCTCCTATGCGGCGGGAGCCTCCCCAACCAGTGCCACCCCCTGCTCCACGGCACCGAGTCCCATTGACCACCCGAGGGCTGAGAAGTGCCGGTGCACGGCACAGGACTGGCAGGCAGCTCCACCTGCGGCCCCAGTGCGGGATCCACTAGGTGAAGCCAGCTGGGCTCCTGAGTCTGGTGGGGACGTGGAGAACCTTTATGTCTAGCTCAGGGATTGTAAATACACCAATCGGCACTCTATATCTAGCTCAAGGTTTGTAAACCCACCAATCAGCACCCTGTGTCTAGCTCAGGGTTTGTGAGTGCACCAATCGACACTCTGTATCTAGCTACTCTGGTGGGGCCTTGGAGAACCTTTGTGTCCATACTCTGTATCTAACTAATCTGGTGGGGATGTGGAGAACCTTTGTGTCTAGCTCAGGGATTGTAAACGCACCAATCAGCGCCCTGTCAAAACAGACCACGCGGCTCTACCAATCAGCAGGACATGGGTGGGGCCAGATAAGAGAATAAAAGCAGGCTGCCGGAGCCAGCAGTGGCAACCCGCTTGGGTCCCCTTCCACCCTGTGGAAGCTTTGTTCTTTCGCTCTTTGCAATAAATCTTGCTACTGCTCACTCTTTGACTCCACACTGCTTTCATGAGCTGTAACACTCACTGCGAAGATCTGCAGCTTCACTCCTGAAGCTAGAGAGCCCACAAGCCCACCGGGAGGAATGAACAACTCCAGATGCACTACCTTAAGAGCTCTAACACTCACCGCCAAGGTCTGCAACTTCACTCCTGAGCCAACGAGACCACGAACCCACCAGAAGGAAGAAACTCCAAACACATCTGAACATCAGAAGGAACAAACTCCAGGTGCGTCACCTTAAGAGCTGTAACACTCACCACGAGGATCCACGGCTTCATTCTTGAAGTCGGTGAGACCAAGAACCCACCAATTCCAGACGTAATTACACAGCGGGGCCTGTCGGGGAGTCGGGGAAAAGGGAAGGGAGAGCATTATAACAAAAACCTAACACATGCCGGGTTTAAAACCTAGATGACGGGTGGATAGGTGTAGCAAACCACCACCGCACATGTATACCTATGTAACAAACTTGCACGTTCAGCACATATATCCCAGAACTTAAAGTAATTTTTTTTAAAAGAAAGAATTCCCTGGGTTACTAAGGGAATTACTAAGCAAAGGCTCTCACTCCCTTCCCTCTCTTCCCGCTAATCAGAAGGAATTTCCCTTCCTGTTAGGCTGCCTGGAGTTGGGGGAGGGCAATTCTGTGGCCACCACAGCTGGGAGTGTGCTGGGTAATCGAGGGCAGCACAGTACTGGGTCTTGTCCAAGGCCCATGATGACTACTACCTGGCTACTGCCGATGTTTATTCCACGACCAGGGGCTCTTTTGTCAGTAGATGGTGAATCCAGCCAGAAATGGATCCTTCCCTTCAGGATAGCAGATTCCCTTCTGTCCCAGTGTGGGTCTAAAAATGTCATTCAGGAGCTCAGACCTGGAATTAGGGCCTTCAGAAATCTGCCTAGTGCTTTATTTTACTGTAGCTGAGCTGGAAACCAAGTTGCACGACAATGTTTTTGTACTCTTCCCTGTCCATTCTCCAAGTGAAGAGTCTCCTCCTGAGCTGTACTGGATGGAGTAGGGGGAGGGATGAGATAGACACTCCTTGGTTGCCACGGCTGGTGTTACAATGGGTCATGCACAACCCAAGTCCATTGCCCCTGAGACCAGTGCAGCTGGGACCAGGGCTTGCCCAATAACTGTAATCCTATGGCCTGACTGCCTCTCAGATTTATTCTGGGCCCCAGGCCACTTTAGTCAGTCAGTGATGAAACTGGCAGGGACTTGGTTTTCTCCCACTGGGGCAGGGCATTCCCCTCTAGCCCAGGGCTGGTCTACATGCTCCCTCTGTGGCACCAGCAGAATTCTGCCGTGTTGTGCTTCACTGTGACACAGAAGTACCGAGTTCCAATGCAAAATTCCTCACTCATGTGGCTCTCTCCCCCAAGCACACAGATTGTCTCTCTTCAGGACACTGCCAGGGTAGATGGGAGAGGACTGGTGTAGGCAATGCAAGACTTGTCTTTCCTACCCTTTTCAATGCCTTTTTCCTTGGTATTATGTTAAATCAAGATTATGTGATCACTCACCTGATTTTTGCTTCTTATGAAAGTGCTTTTTTGTGTGGATAGGTATTTAATTTGGTGTTCCCACAGGGAGATACTTGCAGGAGTATTTAGCCATCTTTCTATACATTTCTCTCTCTTACAATAATATTTGAACCTTGGAAAACATGTTTCACTCATTGCTTATCTTTTGAACAAATATGTAAGATATTTATTTTCATTTTTTTCTTTCAAATATAATTAGCATTACACAAATTCCCATTGTGGACTTGTTCAGAAGTACATTGAATATATTTATTTATTTGGGTAAATTGGCATCTTTAGAATTTTTGGTCTTTTTATCCAGGGTTTTGACATGTCTCTGTCTCTTAGATCTTTTAGTGACTTCGATAAAGTGGTACTATTTTTATCTTCTAGATTTTTACATAATCGTGCTAGTTTTATTCTTAAGTATTTTATATATTTTTGTTGCCCGAGTTAGATATATTTTATAATTGTTTACATATTACAATTATTTCACAGTAACATATAGAAATGTTATTGTATTTTATAATTTCTGTATATAGTACAATTATTTCACAGTAACATACAGAAATGCTATTTGTCTTTAGTGTTTTTTTCCAAATACCTTAGTCAAACATGTTTTAAAATAGCTAACCAAGAGTGTCAGCACCACTGAAAAACATAATTTTTCATTTTCCAATTAATTTTGATGCCTACTTAATCATAGGTATTAATAGTATTAATCCTGCATCATAAATTATTTATTTCTTATTGTATCTTTACAATGTACTATGGGATTATGGCTCCTTCATTTTATTTTTACGTATTTAATTTCTTTTAGAGAAATAATAAATCACTTTTCCAAATTCGTAAAATAAAATAAAAAATTATATTTCAGATTGGAATTACATTATTTTTTAAGGACTTACATGGCAAATGTTCAAACTTTCTGTTCTATAATATGCTAAACATTTAATTTCTTTCTTTTTATTATATTTAATATTTGATAGTTTTTTCTTCCTATACAACCCATACTTTTCTGTTTGTGTTTATTCTAATTATTTTATGGCTATATTTGCTACTGTTAATGAGGGGTTTACCATTATATATTTTGAACTAATCTTTACAGTGAATAAAATTATTAATTTTCATGTTCATTATTTTTCTTATACTCACCTATTACACTAAGCTTTCTTTGCAAATCTAACCATTTTACATTTAAATGCCATGTGTAATTATATATATAATAATAGTTTCTCTATTATTTGATTGTTTTTTTTCCAGTTTTTTGCTTTCATACAATAGCTGTATTTTTTAGAACAACATAGATAATAGAGGTAATGTTGGGCATCATCTATTTTTTCATAAATTAGTCTGAAAAGTCTCCAATGTGGTGATTATTAATGTGCTAGGGTTACAAAATTCTTTAAAAACTTTACAAGACCTAGGATCCCTATTATTTATTATGACATTAAAAAAACTTGACTGTATTCAGAAAATTCAAATGTGTGTTGAAAACTTTCAAAGAGCATTTACCCTAATTTAGTAGACATAGTCTTTTTTCGTATCTGAGATTTATGTAATACTATTTTTATTTGAACTTAGAAATATGTAATATAATGAAGCAGATTCATTGTATTATTATCAGAATATACACATATTCTGTATAGACATTCTAGAAGAAATAACATTGATGATATTAAAATCTAATGAAAAATGTACTATGGGAATTCTTGAATTAGAAAGTGCATATGCATCTGTTAATATAGCTTTTAAGTCACTGCTTCATTTGCCAATATTAATATAGGATTCAAGTTTGATCAAATAACTTTGAAGTAACACTATTCAAAATGAATGAAAATAATTAGAATATTCCTTATTAGAATATTAATAATATATAAAAATCTCTATTACCTCTATTGGTGCTAATTTAGTATGTAAATAAGCATAATTATATTGACAGTTCTAACAAGGGAAAAGTCCATTCAATAGGCACCTTTATGCAGAAATGCATTATAGAGGTCCTATACTAAGGGAAGATACAACATACAGATTTTTTTAATGGGAAATTTTCTGTTGAACTTCCTGAATTCTGCTGTGGATATGATATTGCATACAGTCCTGAAGCTCTGCCATGATTTATCTACACGCACAGTCTGTAGTCTTTTTGAAGTTATCATCCCAGTTTTCTTTTCAGATATTAAGCATATATTATATTGGTACCAGCATCTTGAGAAGAAATACCTATGTCTTTTGGGTACTTATAATCTGGCGCAAATACAGCTGTGAAAGCAGAATACATAACAATTAACCGATGCTGTGTTTTCATATTTATATGATTGATCCCTGACTTGGGAGCATGTTTATTATGCCTGTCTGAGAAATGCACTTCATTTCTGTCATCTCTCCTGTCTAGCTGTGCTTTCTATCTCCAAATCAATAAACCTTAAAAGTGTGTTGTAATAGTTACAGTATGTTTCTCCAGGGAGAAATTGTTGTGTTAGGGTTTTGCCGTTTTTTGACACTATACCAATTTCATTTGACAATGAATTGAAAGTTGAACAGTGCATTGAGCCATGCTAGTAATTTAATACTATCCTTGAAATATCATCTTTCAACCTTGACCAGGAAGCCGTTATTTGTGAAAGCTGGCCTATGTTCCTTCTCATGTCATCAGCTTGGTTTCTTCATAAGAGTGAGGTTAAGAATGCATAGTTTACTATGAACATATTAGGGTCTTGCTATTGTTACTGTCTATAAGGTTTTTCAACACTGAATATCTAAGACACCAGAGTGGACAATAATTCTTCATTAATAGTATTAACCATACTTCCACCTCTCCCACAACTGCTTCAATTATCTGGCTAAAAACAGAAGACATTTTCTCAAATCTGGGCTCTTCACTATCATCTCTAGGGAACGTCAATAAACTAAGATGCATGTTCTTCAAAGGTGATTAAAAATACTGGCAAAACTACAGTTAATGCCAAATTTAAATTGTTATACAAATTTCATTGCCTTAATTTTATTGCCCCAAACAGGATTTTTTACTACAGCATCTCACAAGGGAAATTTGATGGAATCCGTTCTCATCTTTCAAGATTATATTTCTAAAGACTTCATCTCTGTATCAGAAATTTCAATAAAGAAAGCCTATAACATGAGAAATTTGATGTAAATATAGTGCATGACTGAAATGATCTAATTGGAGGAACTGATAAACAATTTCTTAATTCTAAAATGAAAATTTCATAATAATTATGAAAATGAGAACAATTATTATGAAAACTCAAAAATGCCAGGGACCCATCCAAAATCAAGTAATGCCCTTGGAACTATGAAAATGTCAACTGATGGATGTAGAATGAGAAATCTGTAACTATTTCTTTCTCAAGAGCTTTCCTTTAGGCCTTAGAGCTCTGCTGAAAGAGGCAAGAATGCAGGAAACACATTGTGAACTGTGAGGAATGTTTACAATGCAGAATGCTTTTCATGGCCAAATAATTGATGAGAATTTATCTGTCTGATAAAAAATATAAGGTGGAAATTCAAAGTTTTTATAGTGGTATTCACTAAGCGCTATAGGTGATTTGAGGAAGTAATAATTTGGATTTAACTCCTACTAATTTTATATATGTTGGGAATTTATCAGAAAATAAGCTAAGTGAAGTCCAGATTTGGTGCCTGTCTGATACATTTATATCTGCTTCAATTTACTAGTATAAGAATAATATGGTTTAAAATACAAATCAAACAGCAAACAAACATACAAACAAGTGCCACTCTTCGTATGCTTGGTAGTTTGTTGTCCTCACTTTTAACTATGTTTTGCTTAACAAAGTGAAAAATTAAATAGTTTGAATGTCTTTTTTACTGTTTGGAGTAAATTTTTAGAAATTTAGAATCCAAAATACAGGACTTGAAATAACTATTCCAGCAGGTTAAACTCTGATAGGAGAAAGAAAAGATCAAGGGACTGTTCTTACTTATTTCAAAAGATAAGAATATATAAACATTTCCATTCTTGAACTTATCGGGAGAAATATTGGGTGCATGAATAGTTGCTAGTGTGCAAAAATTGTGTGTTTCTCTATAAACATTAAGAAGAATGAAGTATGACAGGAAAATACTTGAGCAAGAAGGGTACTTCATGAACTACTTTAAGATTAGAGGAATCATTCAGAAAATTGTGAATGCCTAAATATAGTCATGCAGAAAAATGTTACTCTTTTGAAAGAAGTGGTTAAGTCTAGCTCTGTCATTATGATGAAACCAATGAGACTGAAAAGCAGACAACCTAAATATCTTACAAGGAAAATCTTAGGCAAAAAGGGAACACACATATACATACATTTTTAAGTATTCAGAGAGTTCAAAGTATCTGTTATTTTTATTGTGCTAAGGAAATAAGAGGTAACCAGGGGAAAAAATGGTAAAAACATTCAGATCTAGAGAGACACAGACTTTTCTAAATATCCAGATCTTTCATTTCTCAATGTACTTGAGGACTCTGTTGGCTTGTATAATGTGCAATGCAGAATAGGTACATATCCACCAAAAAATTCTGTATAAATATACAATCAATTTACAACAGGATCACCATAATAAATGGAATTTCATGATGATGATGTTTAAAGGTTCCATGTGTAGTACCAAAGAATAAATGAGTTTTTAACATTTGGAGAAGACAAGATGTTGTTTTGAGAAATTCCCTGTGTGATTCTGGTATGTATATTGATTGATGGGTATTCACATCTTTTATGGGTTTAATTGTATATGCCCTAAAAGTTCACATACTAAAGTATTAACTCTCAATGCCTCAGAATATGACTGTATTTGGATATAGGGTCTCTAAAGAGGCAAAAGTTAAAATGAAATCATGAGGATAGGCCCTAATCCAATATGACTGGTGTCCTTATAAGAAAAAATTTGGACAGAGATATGCACAAAGATAAGTTTATGTGAAGACACAGGAAGAAGGTGGAATTCTACAAGCCAAAAAAAAAAACATGTTTCAGAAGAAACCAACCCTTCCAACACCTTGATAAAGGATTCTAGTTTCCATACTTGTGAAAGAAATTAGTTTATGTTGCTTAAGCCACCCAGTCTGTGGTACTTTGTTACGGCCAACTTAGCAAACTAATAGAGCCTCCTCAAAGAAGAAAAGATATGCTCTTTGGAAATTTTAGTTGTCTTCTATATTTTATCAGAGACTGAAATAAGTGTAATAAGTTGGACAAGGGATATTTTTCCAAAATATGAAATAATTTTCCACACTAAAGCAGTAGGCCATAAGGAAGGAAAATTATCCTGTGCTGAAATTTTGTATTTAGTGAAGAGGACAAAGCTTTCAATAAAGATCATAGCAACCATGAGGATTCTAAATAGCAATGTTTGCATGAACTTTTGATAGTCCTTTCGGTTCACTGAAGAAAACAATGTTTGGCATAAACTGTTTCATAAACTTCTAAAGAGCACTGGCTTTTCTTTGGAAGTCACCAACACAAATACTGATTCATTATTGCCTATAGCTTTACTTATTCAAGCAGTTGCTTAGTAGAGCACTGAGGGCCTAAGCAAGGACTGTCATATGGAAGGCACTCAATACATGTTGGTGGAATACATGTGCACAATGAACAATGCTAACTTTTCCACACACATTTTACTACTTAGATTTTATTGAAAATATTATGTTCTGTGGAAAAGATGACCAAGAAAATTTGTTTGCAAATTGGCTACAATTGTTCTCTTTTGAGTGTTCACCAAAATAATTATATGCTCCTGGTATTAGCTCTATAATTCTAGGCATCCTATTAAATGATACATTTAGAAATTTGTGGCTTTATATTTATTTAAAGGAAACTATATTTATTTGGACGACAAGTTTGTTCAAATAGACTATTATAGCAATTATATAAATTATAGCATCATAAATGTAGAAGTAAAAATGTATGAGCAATTACATTCTTTGACAGCTGATATGAGTTATTATAAATACTATTATGTTTTCATTTCTTTATAGCCTATGTTCTGAAAAGTCTCAAAGAAGCATAAAAGATCAGCACTTACTAGACTGGGAACTCATGCCTAGAATTGCATTTTGTAATTTTTATTATAAATTGAAGTACCTAGGTTTATTTACTAAAAATCAAAGATATTAGGCAAGTATCTAGAAAATAGAATTTTGGTGTCTTAGAGGAGAGGGGTAAGAGATCTTAAGAATCTATTTGAATTGTGATTATTCCAGGATAATTCTGCTTACATTTATAAAAGTATATTGCACTATTTTAAATAATTATTCTTCACTGTTATTTAAGATTTCTTATTAAAACACTGAAGAGTTATGCATGATTTTGTGATGATAATTAATAGAAAGAGTACTATGACCTTTCAGCTGCTCTTTTAACTTCTCTCAGTCTCAGTCCTGATCTATGAAATGGGAATAACTGTAACTGACATGCTTTGCTCACAAGATTTTGTAAAGGTAAAATAAAACGATGTATGTATAAGGTGTTTACATAACAACACCATAATGGTACAGGTAAAATTATTGTTAATTCAGCTGTCATAATTATTTGTAAATTTCTCAGTAGAATCAAGATTTTCCTGGACAAAATCTAACATGAAATCCCTTCAGTTCCATCTCATCATTTACCCAAACAGGGAATATTAATATACCATATGCTAGGGAGCTTAAATAATTTCTTTATAACATCATAGTAGGTAGCTCAGTAGTGAAAATTAACAGGAAAAAAATGGATGAAAATCAAAAGAAAAGCCTGGCAGCAATGGGAGAGTGAATGATACAGAGGTGAAACCAGAAGCAAGCACTTCAAATGAAAATGTGTCTTTTGCCAGAATTGTTCCCCATGTAAGTTTATAATAACCCTGGAAATGACTGAATTGTGTGAACCAAACTAGATAATTGGAGCAGGTGTCTGGCATTAGAAGAGATGAAAATGGTTTTCTCTTCTCTCCTATAAAGATGAAGAAGACATAATAGGAATACATATCGATTCCAAGGAGAGCACCATGCCAACTCTATTGCAGATGGAATTGTGTGAGGCATCCCAATGATTAAGAATGAAAAATAGTCAAAACTAGGATGCATGATTTACCAAAAAAAAACATAACTCTTAGTTTTCTTCTTGAATGTCCATTCTGTTTCACAGATGTTGAAACCAGAAAGTGGCTATGTTTCCAATGCTAATAAAAATATGTGATAAATTGAAGGTTAGTATGAATATTTTTCAATAGGCAGTATATAAAATGCATGGTGCTAATCAGAAGGATAGCTTTTGACATGCTGTTTCTTCCATCAAATTATGGGTGTGAGAATCTGGAGACATTGCCCGATGTAATAAAAAACAAGAGTCAATTTATGGTCAGGTCTAAAAATTCATTATTTTAAAATCTTCTGAAGTTTTTACAGTTTGCTGGTAATTAAACACATCAAGGCACTATGTATGTATCTCCTAATAGATTTGTAATAAAAGGCATTGCAATAACTATTCAAATTCATCATCGATGTTAGAATAGCCAAAGCCAAACTTTACTATTAAGCATAAGACACAAGAAATAATGTTGCATATTATTCCCAGGATATTAATTTATTTCTATTTAACAAAATAAAATATGTAGCTATATTTATCAAGTATTCTGTAAGGTACTGATATATTGTTTGTGTTTTTAAAATACTGTCTTTCCCCAGTTTTAGCGCCTTTGCTAGAAGTCCACCAGCTTCATTTTGAGCAGCTGATCAAGTCCACACACCAACTTTATCAAACTCATTCTCAGAGCTGCCATGCATCTGCTCTAATCACCCCAGGCCATGTACCAGAAAATTAAAGATAACTCATATTTCCAAGAGACTATAAAATTATTCAAATTAGTTTATCTCCAGGGAGCATTTAAAACCCAGCTAACCCCATCCCACTTGCTGCACATAAGCTGCTCCCTACAGCTCCAGTTTGTTGTTACCCAGCCCCCAGGTGCAAGCCCCTACATGGCTATGCATGGCTGCGTTCTCTTGTTTGAAGCTGTAACGAGAGCTCTGTCTTTTTGTTGGGCCCACTATCAAAAGAATCTTTAAATCTTATAAAATGGGCATTGTTGATAGAAAGATGAAGAAAAATGCATGTTATCTTTAAGCATTTCTTGGTCCAAACTTGGTAATCCAATGTAGGAAGATAATGATAATGACAATAATGAATACCACTCATTAAACATTATTATAGGCCAGAAATACTACATAGATCATCTTTATTCTTTAAAATTAACTTGGAATTTTGACACTATGACGATTCCATTTTATAGATCAATTATAAGTCCTTTGAAATTTTTCAGGAAAGAGAGAGAGATGGGGAGGCGAGAGAAAGAGAGACACAAACATAGATAAAAACATGATAAAGGCATTTGGAAATGGGCTGGGGAGATTTTGAAGCAGAATCTATGCTAATGAAGTACATACTTTTATGTATTAATCAAAACACATTTCTTTTTCCTTCTGGACAAACAGCCTAAAGTTTTCAACTGCCATGCAGTTATGTATAGCCATACATAGAGATCTGGTCAATAAGATTGTGGCAAAAAAGATAAAAGGCCTTGTACTTGCTGCATAAAAGCCTCCGACAGGCTTTATTCGTCTTGCCTCTTTTGACTACTAGATGGAGATGAACTTCGCAGTGACTTTGAGAGCCAAATGTTAAAGTAGGAGATGAGATGGAAGGAATCTGCATTCCTGAGTCGATTCTTGCAGGAGAGCTATCCACCAGAAATACCTATTTTTGACTGCGGTAGGAGTGAGACATAAATTGTATTGAATTAAGCCATTAAGACTGAGGGTTTTACTAGTTATGGCAACTAATTTATGAGCTGACATCCTTACTAAGTTAATGATTTTCAATAGTTTGACTTTTTGATCAAAGATTGTGATGGAGTTGCAAATCAAAATGAGAAATGTTGGAAAAAAAAACAGAGGTTTAGTAATGGGTAGAATAATGGGTTTACTTTGGCAGAGATGGAAATTAAAAAGTATTTGAGATATCTAAGTAAAGGTCTTATAAGGCAATTGAATGTATGCCAATGAAGAAAAATTAAGACACATCTGCAAAGGACATGTAGATTTAGTGTCAATAACACAGTCCACAGCTCAGCAAAAGACAAGTAGAATACAAGATTACCTAAAGAGGAAAATGTGAAATAAAGGCCAACAAAAAGATCTGAGGTAACACCAAGAGGAATGGTAGTAAACTATTAACTTAACTTACTCTAAAAATAATCTCTACCTTGATTATATTTAAACAACAAAATAAACAAAAAAGCAGTGCAACCTCAAAGCTTCAGAGAATGAAATTGAATGGAGAATAGAAATAAAGCATTGGTATTTCCATTATAACAAAATAATTCATTCCATTACATAACAGCCAACCATGTTGGGAGGAATAGTAACAATGAATATTGTGCACGTTAGAATTTTAAACATCTATGACAGGAGACTGTATTCTGGTCAGAGACAAGTAATACATTTAAAACTCTTTTTTTTTCTGGTGCCGACTTCTGGTAACTGGTTCATGTACTATTAAAAAAAGCTGGATGGTACAATGCCATTCTGTTCATATAGTCACTCATGTAACCCAGGTGGAAACTGTTCTTTTATATATATTATCCTCGGTTGATTCTCTGAGCAAATATGATTTTAATTGTATAAAAAGTAGATTTTTTTAAAGTCATCCTGATAAGAATTTCATGGCAAATTTATCACAGGGTCTTTATTTTTTCTAATAGGCTATATTTTTTAGAGCAGTTTTAGTTCAGAGCAAAATTCAATAGAAGGTACAGAGATTTCCCCTAAATCCCCTGCCCTCACACATGCATAGCCTTCACCATTATCAAAGTAGTACATTTATTATAATTGATTAACCCTCATTAACACAACATTATCACCAGATTCCATAGTTTATATTAAGATTACTCTGGATGTTGTACCTTCTATGGGTTTGAATAAATGCATGATGACGCGCCCTCAATATCCCTCGTGCTCTTCCTCTATACCCTTCCCTTCCCTCCTAATTTGTGGAAACCACGGATCTTTTCAATAACTCTAAGGTTTTGCCTTTTCCAGAATAACATATATTGCAATCATACAGTAGGTAGCCTTTTCAGATTGGCTTCTTTCACTAAGTAATAATATGCATTTAAGTTTCCTCCATGTTTTTTCATGGCCTGATAGCTCTTTTTTTTAAGATCTAAGTGATATTCCATTGTCTGTATGTACCACAGATTATTATCTATTCATCTACTGAAGGACATCTTGGTTGCTCCCAACTTTTTGTAATTATAAATAATAATTCTATGAATGTGTATGTGCAGGTTTTTGTGTGGACATGTTTTCAGTCCCTTTAGGTAAATACCCAGGAACATGATTGCTGGATTGTATGTTAAAGTTATGTTTAGTTTTGTAAGAAACTTCCTAACTGTCTTCTAAAGTGGCTGTATCATTTTATACTCCCACCAGTAGTGAATAAACCTTCCAGTTGCTCCACATTGTCACCAACATTTGGTGTTGTCAGTGTTCCAGATTTTGGCTATTTTAATAGGTGTGTAGTGATATATCATTGTTGCTTAATTTGCATTTCCCTACTGACATATAATGTGGAGCATCTTTTCATATGCCTATTTGCCACCTGTATGTGGTGAGATGTTGGTTAAGGTCTCCGGTACTTTTTTTTTTTTTTTTTTTGAGACAGAGTTTCACTGTATCACCCAGGCTAGAATGCAGTGGTGCGATCTCGGCTCACTGCAACCTCCGCCTTCTGGGTTTAAGCAATTCTCCTGTCTCAGCCTCCCTAGTAGGTTGAGTACTGTATTTTTAGTAGACACGGGGTTTCACCATATTGGCCCATTTTTTAAAATGGTATTGTTTGCTTTCTTATTGTTGAGGTTTGAAAATCTTTGTATATTTTGTGTATTTCGAGTCCTTTATCGGATATGTCTTTTGCAAATATTTTCTGCCAGTCTGTGGCTTGTCTTGACAGTGTCTTTTTCAGAGCAAAAATTTTAAATTTTAACGAGGTCCATCTTATCATTTTTTTAATGGATCATGCCTTTGGTGTTGCAACTAAAATGTCATCACCAATTTCAAGGTCATCTAGACTTTCTTCTATGTTATATTCTATGGGTTCTATACCTCTGTGTTTTACATTTATATTTTAGATCCAGTTTGAGTTTTTGTGTTTGTAGAGGGTTGTCAGGTCTGTGTCCAGATTTACTTTTTGCATGTAGATGTCCAGATGTTCCCACAGCATTTATTAAAAGACTATCTTTTCTCCATTGAATTGTCTATACTCCTTTGTCAAAGATCAGTTGACTATATCTATATGTATCTAGCTCTGGGCTCTATTATGTTCCATTGCCAATTTTTTTTCTATTTATGTTCTTTCATCAATATCACACTGTCTAGATTACCATAGTGTGTCTTGAAATCCAGTAATGTCAGTCATCTAACTTGGTCTTATTTTTTCTATTATTATTTTGTAAAAGTAGTAGTATGCCAGTAATGATTGGTAGACATTACATGATAATACTCAAAATGGAATATGATTTCAGGAAAATAATAAACATGTTATTCTTTTTTCCCCTTTTTTATGCTCAATGGAAAGAAAATGTTATTCTTAATTCCTAAGAAATCAAGCAGTAAACTTACAATGAAAACAATTCAATTATTTAACATATATAGAAAAAATTATTTTAATGCTACAATCAAAAAATAAATTTTCATGATTTATAACACATGTATTATATCAATCATCTATACACTTACCAATTAAGATACATTCTTATTCTCTTAGTTTCATTACTAGAGAAAATATGTGCTTACACAGTGTCTGAAACCTAGTGAGAGTTCACCAGATGTCTGTTAAATAAATTAACATACGACAAAGTATAAAAGAAGTATTGTGCCTTTCTACCCCAAAATAGAATTCTTATTTTCCTTAACCTTCATCTTATTGACCCCCAGAGTTCTCTGTAATCTTTAGCAAAGATTACCACTTCCATAGGTTCTAAAGCAGAACATATCTGAGGAATACCCTTTAGCTTACTTGATTTCAATATGTGTGTTATTAGCCAATGACAATTCAACCCAGAGCACCTCTTCAACTAGGAATTAAAAAACGATGATAGGATGCTATACAGTTTTCAAATAAAATTAGCAACATGAATGTTGATGCTTTTTTTCAAAAAGAAAGAGCAGAGCTCTTTAAGACAAATATTATTTTTCTTTTTCAAGTGTTGCACTTTAAAAAGGCGAATCAGAAGTTTTATTCATAAAATTCATGGGTTTTTTGTATTACTTTTTCATTTGTAAAAATATGCCTCAAAATATAATTAATAAATGCTAAAAATGGTGAGTCAGAAAAATTGGGGACGTTTTATTTTAAAATACTTGGAAAACACATGGGGTTTGGCAAGCAATAGCTAATTCTTTACAGTTTTCATTTTGGTAGCCAAGCATGGCATAGCAAAGACTAAAAAAAGACAAAAAAAGAGGCTGACAAGGATACATGTCCCTTGACAATAACACACATCCCTATTTCAAGTACTGCATTGTCAAAATATGAAGCGGCAGAAAATGCACATCTGAGCCTCAGTATTAGGCATTTTTCCAGGCAGAGCATTTTTTTCCTAATGTTTGATTCATTTACAAGATTTAGGAATAAATGTCTGCTCACAGTAGAATTTCAATAACGTGTTACTTTATATCTTCAATGTAGGGCAAATAATAAAACTATATTCCTCAAAACCAAAGCACTTTTATCCCCTCGTCCTATTCAATGTCTTGTCTCTGTGCATGTTCTGCTAGGGCAGTGCCAGTACTTATTAAGGTTCCCAATAGCTGAAACTTATATGCAACTTAACTTGATTTTCTAAAACTTATTTTAATAAGGTTTATGATTTAAAATATATTTGCATGATATACAAATCTGAACAATTGCAAAATTTCATTTTTTAGACTATTTCAGACTATATTCTGATCAGAAAATTTTCGCTTTTTTTCATGGCTATCACCACCTTTCATACAAATTAACCTCGGTCAAGGTAAAAGCCTTATTTTTCAGAGAAACATCTTTAAAAAAAAGTTTAGAAAATGAATCATTATGAATTAAACTTTGTTTTCCTGATCTTCAAACAAAAATTGATTCAAAACATCACAGACATTGACAGCAAGAAGTCATACAACTTGAGATGTATAAAAGACCCCAGTAAAGGGAAACATGTGAGTGAAAATATTTCTTGTTCAAAAAATATCATTCCCTAGACATAAAAGGCCCTCAAATTTCTCCAAATGAATGCCAGTTCTAGTGCAGTTTATGAATACCTTCATTGCTATTACAATCTGAAATATAATAAAATAACATGTTTTAAGTGGTATCTTTCAAAACATTTACTGGACTCTCCAGGAAGCTGTATCAGCCCAAAATTGGAAGCACTCCAAGAATGTTGTTTAGTAACTCCTTGGGAAGATTTATTTAAACAAATTTCATCTGAATAATGAAATTCACCTTATTTTTAATGATGATTTGAAATAGCATTCCTTCATGTCAGTTTTTTCCTCCATTGAACCTATATTAGTCATCCTCTGAAGATGGATTGGGTTCTAGCAACTTCTCTGAACACCTGGGAGGAGTAAGCCTTGGCTCTTTGCCACTATTACAGACACAGTTCTCTTCTGTCCACCTAATTAATGAGTTATTATCCAGAAATCCCAATGCGATATAAGGTGTTAAATAACTGTGGACCACCCCGTGTGAAATAATGTCTACAATAATTACCATGGGGGGGCAGTATGCAAGTAAAACAGAAGAAAAAATTTGTCTCATTGAAGAAGCTGTCATCTTAAATTAATATAATGTAAAATGGCAGAGCACAGATGTTTTGGTGTCTTTTAAAATAATTAAACTTGTGAACATAACTCTGGGTCCTGGTGTTCATGTTGTGGCAATGACTTCCACTCAACAGGAAAAGAGTGCTTGGTTAGCATGCTAAGAATAAAAAGAACCTATCTCTTTTTATTACTATGAAGAATCATCCAAGATTTGACTGTAGCTCCATTTTACTACCACTTACACCTAGAACTGAGGTTGGGCCGCTGCTTCCCTCTTCTGCTCTACTGCCACTCCCATCACTTTTGACTACTCCAAAATCACAGCCAAATAAATGAGAAAAGAACTCGATTTCACTAAATGGCAAAATAAAAATATTTAGATAGGATCATTCTTCATTAGGTTAGTTCGGTCTGGATTGCATTTAGAATGGAATCATTAAAAGTATCCCAATAGTGACAATACTCATTTATTCTATCTATTGAATTCCACCTTCTGAAAGCAAAGCAAGTTCACCCATATAAACTTTAATTGAGACGATTGTAAATGTCTCCTTTACTCTTACCTCCAGAGTGGTAACCACCTGCTACCCCATATAAACCGTTGTATGTCCAATCCTGGAGTTCCTAATTTCTCTTTCTTTATTATTGGATTATTTCATGTAACTCCAATTTTCCAACTAGGCTTTGACTTTAGCCACTGTGTCTTTGACTTGTTGGATTGATACTTTTCCAAGATAGAATAAAAATGAGAGGTACCTGCCAGCAGCCATGAAGATGCACCACCACTCAGATCTTCTGTTGAGGAGAGCGTAATTGACACAGGACCCCAGATGCTGTGCTTTGAATCCACCACCAATTCACACAGAGGCCATGCTTCCCATAGGCTAATCTTAGGCAAAGGGCTGGAAGTGGCAAGGATTCTAAGGCAGGTCCGTTTTTAGGAGTTCTAGAACACCTCTGATAAGCAACTTTGTCCCTAGAACTTGTCATCAACTTGACCAAAACTGTTTAGAATTCTTCTTCAGTAAGAGAATCCACTTATCTAACTTTCCCTCCTTCATACTCTTCTTCACAGCTGTTGGACCGTTACCGCCATCTGATAGCTCTCACTGTCTCTTCCAGCTCCTCCTCTGGCTCTCTCCCATTTTTTTCTTCACGGGTGTTTTCTCCAATAAATCCTTTCTTTTATTCAACCTCTAACCCCACCTTAGTGTCTGCTTCTTAAAGGACTTAAACTAACATGTACCCCCATCATAGCCTTTCACCTTCCACTTGTTTACCAAACCTACCCCAGCTACTCCGGCTGAAACTGGCCCAGTTGTCCTATTGACATTTATGGTTTCTTTTTAATAAGCATAGAAATTGACTGTCCCAGTCTTAAAACTTGAGAAAGTTACTTTTGTCTTGTCTGAGTTCTTTTCTCAGGAAACCAACCAACAGGCTTTCCAGATAGTATCTAGGAACTGAATTTACCAGATCACTGTGTCTAGACAATGAGACATTAGACCGAGCCCTCACCCTTCACGATTGCCTAACCGACCACCTGCTACACCCATCTTCTTTATCTCTCTCCAATTCCTGTCTTGCCATACATTGCTACATTTCTTCCTTGCTATATAAACTCCTAATTTTAGTTGGCTGAAGAGATGGGTTTGAGACTGATCTCTCATCTCCTCATCTGCCCAACTAAAGCCTCTTCTCGGGCAACATTCATGGTGTCAGTTATTGGCTTTCTGGGTGGCGAGCAGCAGGACCTAGACTGAGCCCTTGGTGTTTTGGTAACATGGCTTTCTTTGTTTCATCTGTGTAACAATGAAAGAGTTACACCAGGTGATTTTATTAGCCTATTTTCTCATCAGGAACAATACTCTACTTAGACACGGATAGTGTAGATTAAGTGGTAAGCTATTTTAGATTATCTTTTTGCTTTACAACTTTTAAAAATTAATGTTACCTGGATATTATTCATATATTGAAAAATTTTTTAAACTTCTAAACATAATCTTATAGCAATAGCAGAAATATAAAAATTTCTGTATTTTCCCTCTCAAATTCTATTGTACAGACAAAAATATTCAAATTTCAAAATTCCAGTGTGTATCCAATCTTCCACAGTTTCTTTTTTTTCAATCAATGTTATATTGTTAAAAGTTACTATAGAGAAGTTGTACAACTTTTCTGAATGTTTTGTGGCTTTAAGAAAGGGGAATATAGAGCACAATTAGACCTACTTGGGAGACCTTAGAAATGTTATAATTCACTTTCTATAGAAAAATAATGCAGTATATGAAGATATACTTGGTTATAAGGGAATAAAATGTATATTAACTGGGGTTTTTTTGTTAATGAAAATATGAATTGCCTAAATTTTTGGATAGTATAATAGTCAGTGTGACTCGGTTGATAAAGATAAATAGGGAAGATAATCAACACGTCTGGAAGATTTAAAGATACTTCTTGGTAGAAACTTGAATGAGAGAACCATCATAGACCTCAGCAGAAGGTAATCCTTAGAATGTGAGCTATTAGAATACAAAGGGCATTGGAGAAGTATAAATGGATAGTAGGGTAGTGAAGAATGTATTAATATATAGTTAGAGTTTTCCAAAGGGCCCAGCAATCTCATGATAAGGGGAAGGTTGGAGGACAAAAGAAGAGGCAGTGTGTGACACATACAGGAGAAAGCTGGAAAGCAGTAACATTTCAATGAAGGCAGAGGGCAGCCCCAGCATCTGCCCATTGCAAATGATCTCCACAGAACACCAATAGACGTTGAAAACTGTGCTTCTCTTCAGATTCTAGGATGCAATTCACAGAATTAAACAGTTACTTTTCTTTAATTAATTTGAAGATTCAATTCTTCAAGAGTGGCTTAGCTAGTTCCAGTGTAGAGTGCTTTGAATTTGTATATTTGGGACTCAATACCTTCCTAAGGAAAGACTTTATGCTCAATAAATGTTTGTTTGTTTTTTAACAAATGAATGCTAGTTGAACTAACTAATATCAATTTTTTATCCTCCATTTTCAGTAGTAAAGGAACAGCAGCACTATATATACCCAGTCAAATTTTATGTCGAAAATCAGGTAGTCAGGGTTTCATTTTTAAATAAATAGTTTAAAACAATTTTGAAAGGGTAAATTTAGATAACTCACAGAAAAATCATAATATTAAGTAAACACATAAAGATCTCCAGCATTTATAATAATATGAGAAGTATACATAATTATATTTGAGATATTTATCATGTATCAGATTAGCAAAAGTGAAAAAGAATCCATCATACACAGTGATTGGAAGGACATGTAGAAGTCAGCCATATTATACATTTCTGAAGTCATGCAACCTCTTTGGAGAGTATTGGGTTGGTGCAAAAGTAATTGTGGTTTTGTCTACTTTTAGTGGAAAAAAATAGCAATTATTGGGCTGGGCGCAGTGGCTCACACCTGTAATCCCAGCGCTTTGGGAGGCCAAGGCGGGCAGATCACCTGAGGTCAGGAGTTCGAGACCAGCCTGATCAACATGGTGAAACCCCGTCTCTACTAAAAATACAAAAATTAGCTGGTCGTGGTGGTGGCACCTGTAATCCCAGCTACTCGGGAGACTGAGGCAGGATTGCTTGAACCTGGGCAGCGGAGGTTTCAGTGAGCTGAGATCCCGCCACTGCATTCCAGCCTGGGCTACACAGTGAAACATCATCTCAAAAAAAAAAAAAAAGAAAACTGCAATTATTTTTGGACCAACCTAATGATTTGGCAGTATCAAAATTTGAAATAGGCTTTCCTTTAAATATAGGGCAATTCTTACATAAAAATATACATGATTTAAATTGCCACTGATAGCAATTAAATTAAACATTTGTATTTTAGCCATAACATGGAATACAACATATCCTGTTAGAAAATCAGAAAGACAGCCAAGCATGATGTAGAAAACATCATATGTTGTGCATCAGTACACAGTATCTTTTTAATTTTACAGATGGTTATATAAGTGTATGTGTAATAGTGTTTAGTTATGATTTTTCAAAACCAGTATTTAGAGCATAATCTCATTTTGTTTTTACTCTGGTTTCCTCCCACATAACAAAGATGCCACCAGAGACTCACGACTGGGATAACTGGGTAAATAATTATCTTGTTTGTTTCTATTAACCTTTCTTAAGTGTATGTATAGCTCACATTTATTTCAGTGTTTAATATTAAAAGTGTTTTGGTCTTCATTTGAAAGTTTGATGATGTTTTTGTGACCGGATATATGCCATAGGAACTTAACTTTGTTTATATCAATTAGCCTACAGTAAAATTGGTTTCATCACACATTGTTTCACTTCAGATTGCAGTACTTAAGAACCTATCAATGATGTTAAGTGAGAACTTACTGTACTTTTATAGCTATAATGTAAATTTTATATACTTTTATAATGGTAGAATTATACTTTTTACCTCATACTTATATTTGGAGTTCTGGACCCATTCTGTGAGCTAATTCTCTTATTTTTATTTTAATAATTTTTGGCTCTGTCATTGAGCAGATAATGCAACTGAATTTTTAAAACATAAAAATACTGAATCACACAATCACCCTTGGCTACTATCATCTATATATTAATATAATGTGTGTGTGCATGTACACATGTATGTATAAATCAAATATTTTAACTATTTGGTTTTATAATAGACAGATGGTTTCCCTTGGACACAAAAATATTCTAAAATTTCTGCTGCATGCTTCAATGCTTTTTAAGTAATGCCTTGTCATGAGGAAATAAAAGTTTACTACCATTCTCTTTAGAGTTCAGCCAGCCAGCCTATGAGCACAGATTTATAGAGTCAAGAGATTTATTGAATTAGCCATTCCTAAGGGTCAATTTTCAATCTTTGCTTCCCTTTTAATGATTAAGATGATTTCATTGCTACCTCAATGTTTCTCATTTACACAGGGGTACCTCAGAAAACCTCGAGGGTCCTGTTGACAATCACCCAATCTGAAGTCTGAGATAAATGATCCATTGTGTGTCATTGAAGACTTCTAATGAAGGAACTGACAGGCTGTAGGAATTACTGAGCTATTAGATCATCTCAGAGAAAGTGTGATACTCAATGTATGTCTCCTTTTTTCCTCTACAAAAGTGATGATTCATACATAATCAAAGAAATGCCATTTCAACAGTATGGCTGGAATTTTGAAAATCTCTAGCAGCTTGTCTTTTTTTCAGTAGACTAATAAATTTTACCTTTTTTTTTCCTTCAGTGGGAGGAGTGAGTATTTTGACTGTTCCTTTGCTCAGCATTCTTGAACAGAACACTCTCTACTTCCCATACCAGATGGAGGTGTGGCAGCATATTGAAGTCATTGGCAAAGAAGGAAGAGGAATATTGTAAATCATTCCAAAGTGGAGACACCTTGAGGGAATCCCTGGGGAATTAGCCAAGAATGTGTTGTAGAAGGAAAGGGAACCATAATATTTATCAGTTGTTCTTAGTCAGAAGATGAAAAGAAATGCAGATATATAAAGATGAAAAGAAATGTCGGAAAGCCTGATTTATATTATGAGCAAAACAAATGTCATTGTGTCTTTCTAATAATTATGAACCCTAGACAAAAAGTGGATACGTTTTAAAATCCCCATGTTGAAACTGGAATTACTATTGCAATATACCTCAGTAATGCAAAGACTGATTTAATTTCTCTCACAAAAGATAAAACAATTTATCGATGGCATTGACCGGGGAAGTGGCTTGCTAGGTATACTGTGATGAAGAAAATATTCTTGCCTTATTTTATTTTTGAATTGATTTCTAATTTAAAGAATAGTATTTTTTTTATCATTTGCCAATAAGGCAGCCTTAAACTATTGTCTACATTGTATCATGAGAGATGATAATATACACTGGGGTTCAGTATCAGTTAATGTGGCCATAAGTACCTTGAGAAAATAATTAACATTAAAGTAGGAGAAAAGAAACTGGTAAGGGTAATTGCCAAAACCCTCATTAGCAAGAACACTAAATATTCAATATAATGAAGGAATAATAAAGTAAAGATAACACCGGTTCTTATGGAATGTTATATATTTAATTCCAGGATGGGAGGACCATTTTGACTGGCAACATTACAAAATCCTGTTTCCCACTCTTTCCCTTAGCAACTGGGAATTTTCATCAAGTCCCCGCAGAAGATTGTGCTTCGGTTCAATTATGACATAGATCATTTGGAAGTGTAGCTTATTTTTAATTTTGATGATTTTACTTACTCAATAAGCACACTACATAAGAATAATCCTAATTATTCTGTTTTTGAGGACACTATTTTCATTTATTAACCACCTATGCAATGAAGAATTGAAGATCTATCTATACTAGGGTGACCAACTGTCCCAATTCACCTAGGACTGAGAGGGCTCCCACGACATGTGACTTTCAGTGCTAAAACTGGAAAAGACCTGGGAAAACTAACAAATTGTTCAGCCTAATCTATAGCCATGGGTCAGAATAGCAAGGTAACAATTAGGATAAACAACTCTATAAGGTAAATGTAGCAGACAAATCAGCTACTTCAATGGGAAAAAAGTTTGATTTATGACCAAATTGTCAAAGAAAGTCTGGTAAGAACTAAGGAACAATGGAAAATTAATCTCTTGTGCCTAGAGAATTGGGAACTTGGACTAAATGCTATTATTGGCAAGAGTTTTACTTCATTCTTCACAGTGTGATTCTCATCCAGCTCTTTCAAAAGGGTAACGATATTTAATACAATAACTGGAAGTAAAGTGGGTCATAATTATGATCATAATGAGGATACATCTTCTAATGCTCCTCTTGAATGTGTTTAATACATCCATAAGTTATTTGAAAGAGAGATAAATTCTGTCCTCTACATCTCATGGTACTCTGTGCAGTGTTGTGCAAACTCTTCATCAGTTAATCATCATTAAGTCCCCTTTTGTTGAAGACTTATTTTATGTCAGTCACTGTGCTAAGCACTTCAACTGTATTACATCATTTAATTCTCATGACACTCTTTTGGGGGATGTGGTGTGCCCCGAAACCAGCTTGCCTCCACTTAAGAGAACTGATTGGATACGTCTCTTCCCATCTCCTTTTTCAGAGATTCCATGTTTTTAGCTTGAAATGGGTCATGGTCCAAGCAGTTACACTATAGAAATTGGAAAAATACTGAAAAATAGGGGACTGTTTGTTTGTTTTGATTAGCTGCATTATTAGCACTACTGGAGATACGTATCATTACCTCCATTTTCAGATGAGCTATATGAGTTCAAAAAAGCTAAGGAACGGCCCAAATGCACTCATCTAATAAATAATACAGCTGTCTGCATGATTCTAATGCATACATGTTTTATAACCAGGGTACTTTGCCTTTCTCATGAAAGTACTAAAATTTATTTTTTTCTGCAATGTTGTAAAATTGCTGTCTGTACTATATGACAGAGAAATCACATCACCATTTATGTCCCTCTGTACTTTTGGACAATTTTAAATTAGTTTCTCTGACTTCACCTGAAAATAATTACTATTGTATATTCTACTACTTTGTACCAAAATAAATTTAAGTTAGCTTAAAATGTTAAAAAAAAAAAAGCAAAAAGTTAAAATGACAGGTTCTGAAGTATGTGAATTTTAATTTTATTTGTAAAGTTTCTCCTTAATAATAAAGAATTTAGAAGTGCATTTATAGACTAATATTTTTATTATGCTGAATTCACTATGCATTAAGAATATAACAAATAGGAACTAATCTCCTGAATACACTGATCATAAGGAAATGTTGCCAGAAGAAGAGATGCTTCCTAGTCTATATAAAAGATACTTGGTTTTCTACCCAGTTTGCTTATATCCTTTTTCTGTAATGGAATCATACTCTTATTTCCTCATTACAATTTCTTTGGGCTCTTTTTTTAATTTATATTTCTCTGCTGAGCATTCTTATTCTTTCATTTATACAAGCATTTTTTTCAAATCACAAGATATTTTAAACTCTTTCTGTGCTAATTAAAAAGTGTTGTATGTTGACATTGATTACCACTAAATATCTTTTTTAAAGAATGAATCCTGTTTTTCTGCTTTTCAAAAATTTTTAAATAATTCTGTTTTGTCTTCTAGATATTGTGAATATTACTTTGTGAATATTATAGATTCTATTTCCCTGAACAGGATTGATTTTTGTTGTTTCAGTCATCAATTAACTAGGTTGGTATTAAATTACAAACTATCTTTTGATGGCAGTTCAAATCTCAGTTCAGTGCTTTATTCTTGGCTGGGATGTTTAAAGTTTTTCACACAAAATGCATGGTTTAGGAGCCCGCCAGGGATTTTGCATACTTTTTCCATAGAACTTAGGACTCCCTATGTGTAACTCCTATTTTTCTGGGAGTTTTCCCTTACTTTCCAGCAGTTATGGTTGTCCAAAATGAGAAAGATTGTAGGCTTTTATTAGAGATTTAGTCAGCACATATGGCAGAGTCTAAAAACCCTCAAGCTAGCAACTGCAAAATTGAGCAATTGCCCCATGTCTTCCCTTTATCCAAAGGTTGACTTCTCTCCATAATTTTTCTCACCTTCCTGTGCCTTCAATAGTTTTTCTTTGTTTTACTTTGCTTTTTGGCTTATGTAGGGATACATTTCTATCATTTTAACCTTGTATTACTTGCATCAGTTCTATGGCATATTAACATTATTCTTGGGTTACAAGTAAATACAACTCAGCTTATCTTAAAACAGAGAAATGAATGGCTTACAATACTGAAATATTCCAAGAGTAACCTCAAGAGCAGCCGGATCATGGTGTTCAAAGAGTATCACCAGGAATTTGTCTTTCTTACATATATTATAACCTGGCTGTGATTCTTCATGGGCTTTGTTCTGAAGGACTCTCCTCTATGGTTCTCAAAGGTCCAGGCTTATGTGCTACCAGATTAAGTACATCAGCAGGAAGAGGCTTGCACCAGATGGTTCCAACAAAAGTTTAGAACCAACTTTTATTTTTTGGCCGATGGATTGACCTATTCCTAAACTAATCCTTATGACTGTACTCAATCAAAGGTAGATCTGTTTGATCTCTGGAACTGAGTGGTGAGTTCAGCCCCATGTAAGCCACATAGACTGGGATTGTCCCTAAAGAAAAAAGAAGGTGGCCATACTAAATGGAAGAAAGGCTGGTAGAGTCAAGTAGAATCTCTCTGATGACACAGACAAGGAGAGAAAAGCATGTCAGGTTGAAAGAGATAGAATGACCAATAACAGATGGTGACAAAAGTGAGCCCTTGTTCATTGTCAGCTTTCTCCTTAGTCCTCTTAAGAGCTGAGCCCAGGGCCTCCTCTTGAGTACATTTCCATTCTCTGACTCTTTTCATTAGTATTCTCATCTCTCTTCTCTTACCAACAGGGTCAGGGATTTAGTTCTGTTTCATTTTATCAGCATAATCAAACAATTTTCCTTATGCATGGGAAACAGCTAGGGACATATATCCAACAAAAACTTCATCCCTTCCAAAAGATTCTGAAGATGTGCAACACTCTTGTCACCAACAATGAAAATATACCAAGAAAATAAAACAAAAGCAATAAAAGTATACTCAGAACACAAAACAAAGTCTCCACGGAAAAAAAAAGTCATAAATACAAACAGTTTGTAAACAAGAGCACATAATTTCCAAAAATAATTCTTTCAGTTTACAATATGATTTTTGTTCCTCATATAATTCATACAGATATGTAAAGAGAATGTATAATTTTACTACCTTGTGGTAAGAATAAATTCACATTTATTTTCATGTGTGCATTATAATGGCTCTCGGGCCTCAACTCTAGTCACGAGGGAGTCCATTATTTCACTCAGGTTAAACTTGCCTTGATATTGTGCATTCAGAAAGCATCTGCAATATTTGTTTCCTTTAACATTCAGTGAGCTCAGTTCTAGTAATATTATTGATTCTTTTCTCTCTACTAATAATCTCTACATAGAGAAAGCCTTTAGTTGTTTTTACTAGTCTTTCAAAGTGTTGTTTTTCTTCTTTTATGTAGATAAAGCCACTTCACAGCTCCAGGTTGATGTCCAGTAGACTGTTCAGTCCCTCATTTTCTAATTTACCACTCATCTATATCATATACAAAGGCCTATTAAAAGAAGTAAAAATGCTGGCTTTGTTCTTCCTACTATAGGAAATGGTCTATTAAACAGAAGATTCCCTTGAGATTTTACGCTAGAGAAAATAGGCATGTATTTTCTGCTTCTAGATGCCTCCTTTGTAAATAGAGGCAGAATTCCAAAGGAAGGATTGCGAATTACAATCTGTTGTCTCATCCATACATCTTCTGATAGATGTGGTTTCTGCTCCCCCCATAAACAAGACCATCACCCTATAAGAGTCACTGGTGCCATACTTCACAGTGTCAACTGGCCTTTATTATTTTCACAAATCATTGAGAAAAAATAAAACAAAACCCCTAAGTTATGATTGGGGAAGATATATTAAGCCAAAGTATAACCTCCCTTTCGAAAGATAGGCTACTTTAATAATTTAAATAAATAAAGCATAGAGAATTTTTTTTCTACTTGTCCATTTATCAGTATATGAGAATTAGCAAAACTCTACCTAATGGCATATGTTGGGTTTGTGTGTGTGTGTGTGTACACTTATTCACATAATCATATAGATAGATTTATATAATATGTATCATATTACTTTGTACTTAGTGACAGCATTTACAAAGTCTTGCATCAGCAATTTATTCATCTATCCTGGGAGTAGTGTTAATTGTGCTATTATACTAATGGTTTATGTATAACCCAGCCTTCAAACGGGCTTCATTTAAAATTGGCAGTGCTAACTTACACCTGCAAAAAGGTGAGTATTTTTCTCCTAACTTGGGAATATAGGAGGCTGTTTCTCATCACATAACATACGCCTAAGGAATAATATTTTTGCTTGCTGTGATTATTATGCAAAGCCATAAGGCACACTTCTGTATTAGAAGAAACTTGCTGAAGAACTTTAGGAAAATTATGACTCTTACAAAGTAACCACATGCTGGACAGGATGTTTATTTAAAACATTTGTTTGAATACATATGAGGCACAGTAAATAAGATTACAGAATGATCTTGCATTTAAATTAATCATTTCATTTTTTCATAGCATTCACCAATGTGAATATACAACATTTTTATCTTTACTAAAGTATTTTATTAATGGAGACTATATGTTCTTACTTTGCAAAAAATGAATAGACCACATTATTTATGGTAATCGCATTCTCACATTTAGTTTGTTTAAATGGCATACATTAAGTAATTTAGATAATCTAATTCTAGCACACAAAGTGTAATGGCTAACTTATTAACTAGCATCAATCCCTACTGATCAAAGATGAAGCAGTATTCAATCATTTGGTGGCTTTGAATCTATAGCATCACTTTCAGTGTGACAGCTTTCCTTCCTATCCCAACACCAAGGTCATGTTAAAGCTCCTCACCAGAACATAAGTTCTGTGAGGGCAGGGGCCTGTCTCACCTGTTCATGTTTATATCCAGAATATGTTATGAATATTACCTGGTTTAATACATATCAATTTAATAAATGAATGAGTTTAAAAAATTCATTTTTTCTTAGAAGTGCAAGTGTCCATATGTGTATGAATAAAAGAGAGGGAGATACTGAGTATAGATTGAGACTCCACTTCTTTTAACATTATAAGCCATTTTGACCTCACATGTTCTGAGAAATCTTGGTTTCTTATGATAATTTTTGATACATAAGCAGAATATGTATGAGGAAAAAAAGAATTTTTGAGTTGATAATTTCAAATGATAAATTCTGATGCCTGTTCGTCGAACAGCTATGTCTTCCCAGAGTTCTCATCAACCGAGTGTTTACTGAACATCTGTTGTATGCCTGCAGGGATTCTGGGAGGAACTGTGAATGTAAGGGGGGAAAGCTTGCATGGTTATTTCATTTCTGTATAGTATGATACATAAAGATTGTCTTAAACTTATGCTTCAGCATGTGGAATATAATAAGGTTTCCCTTCAAATAATCTGATCAATCTTTCATTCTTTAATTCATAGTATCCACCCCCCCGCATTTTTCTCCCTTTTTCTCCTTTTTTCCTTCTTGCCTAAAAAAAGTTATAACAAGCAAGCAGTAACATTTAAAGTCATTTCCTAAGGAGTTAAAAAAAAGTTAGTGAGAGTTACCACCATTAGATTCAGTTTTCTCCACTCCATTAGTTAATTTTCTTTTTCAGGCCACTAAATGATTAACAGAATAATAAGTGATATAGAAGAGATGTTGGCATCTTGATCTCATCTCCACCCTTTGTCTTATCAACGCTATCCTCTACTGTTTAGTATTACAGTGGAGGTAAACCTAGCTATAAAGTACTTCCTTTCTGTTCATAAAACTCAATCAATGCAATAAATAAAATGAATACTCTTGGGAAGAAACCAAGATATGCTTACTGCTTATTGTGATTATATCTTTAAGATATAGAAATTGCTAAAAAACCAACATAGATGTGTTGTCTAGATAAGAAAGTGTTCAAACTCAGTAGAGCTTCTGTCTACATTAGTCTGAATGGAGAAAATAGATGCACAAATCATAAATTAATGCCTGGAAACAGCCTGTGAACTTTTGCCAGCAACAGCTAATTTGCTACAATGGGGTTTCGGGAAAATGACAGTTTCAGTCGGTATGGGGAGGTGAGCAGAGCCATTTGAGAGGATGGAGAGGACGGTGCCTGCCAATAGATGTTGGCTGGGGATTGTCAACCTGCTGAGTACCAGGACTCATCAGCATATTCAATGTTATGAGCACAGACATTCTCTTTAAAAACATAAGCCATGAGAGGGCAATGTGGCTGCAGACTGCAGAGAATGCAGGTGGATGACACATCTACTTAGAAAAGTTGTGGTAACTGGGAAATGGGAATATAAAGAAGCCAGATACAAAAGGAAAAAGGGAAAAGGTCAGAAATAAATTTGCAAGAAATACGAGTATAAGATTTTATTTTTTATTTTTTGGTTTTAAATTATGGGATACATGTGCAGCACATGCAGGTTTGTTACATAGGTAAATGTGTACCATGGTGGTTTGCTGCATCACTTAGGTATTAAGCCCCACATTCATTAGCTATTTATCCTGATGCTCTTTCTTCCTTCCCCCTCTGACAGGCCCCAGTGTGTGTTGTTCCCCTTCCTATGTCCATGTGTTCTCATTATTCAGCTCCCACTTATAAGTGAGGATATGTAGCACTTGGTTTTCTGTCCCTGTATTAGTTTGCTGAGGATAATGGCTTCCAGCTCCATCCCTGTCCCTGCAAAGGACATGACCTCATTCCTTTTTATGGCTGCATAGTATTCCATGGTATATATGTAGTATATTTTCTTTATCCAGTCTATAATTGATGGGCATTTGGGTTGATTCCATGTCTTTGCTATTATGAATAGTACTGCAATGAACACACATGTGCATGTATTTTTATAATATAATGATGTCTATTCCTTTGGGCATATGCCTAGTAATGGGATTGCTGGGTCAAATGCTAAGCATTTTAAGTAATATTTTTTTAATTAGTAAAGTAATGTATTCAATGCAAAAAGAGAAAAAGACAAATACAGTCACGCACTACCTAATAACATTTTGGTTAGCAATGAACTCCATATACTATAGTGGTCCCATAAAATTATAATGGACCTAAAAAATTCCTACAGCCAAATGATGTAGTGCAATGCCTTATTCATGTGTTTGTGGTAATGCTGGTAGAAACAAGTCTACTGAACTGCCAGTCACATAAAAAAATTAAAAATTTAAAGATAGAAAAGTGTTTATAGGAAAAGAATATAAAGAAAGAGAATATTTTATGCTGCTCTAAAATGTGTTTCCATATAAAGCTAACAGTTATTACAAAATAGTCAAAAAGTTAAAAAAAAACCTTTGAAAGTGTATAAAGTAAAAAGTTTCAGTAAGCTAAGGTTAATTTATTATTGAAGAAAGAAAAATGTTTTTTATAAATTTAGTGTAACCTAAGTGTACAACATTTATAAAGTCTACAGTGGTGTGCAGTAATGTCCTAGGCCTTCACATTCACTCATCACTCACTCAGTTAATCACACAGAGCATCTTCCAATGCCTGCTGCATTAATGGTAAACGCCTTATATGGGAGTACCATGTTTAATCTTTTATATCCTATTTTTATGTACTTCTTCTACATTTAGATACCCAAGTACTTACGACTGTGTTATAGTTGCCTATCATTTTACTGTAATTGCTTATAGTATAATTGCCTACCTGTGCAGGTTTGTGGCCAAGGAGCAATAGGCTATCCATGTAGCCTATGTGTATAGTAGTCCATATCACCTAGTTTTGTGTAAGTACATGCTATGATGTCTGGCCAATGATGAAATAGCCTAAGGATGCATTACTCAAAACGTATTCCTGTCATTAACTGATATATGACTGTAATGTTAGAAAATAAAGAAAATCATGAATAGAATAAAAATAACTCTAATCACCCCAAGTAGTACTGTTAAAACTTCATTGTGAATTTTTTCTGGAATTTTTAGCTAAAAAATATAAAATAATGTAAAAAAAGAGGTATCAAGATTTATGTTGGTCTAATCTATAGTAATGAAAATATTAATTTACTTATATTAAAAGCAGCTAATTTATAAATTAGACTAATTGCAGCAAACTACCAAAAATGTTATGAATACCTCCTATTAACCTACAGTTTTACCTATATAATAGCAAATAGATTATTGAGAATAGTTACCAATGTGTATATATTGACAGAAAATAATGAGACTATAAACTATTTCTATACTAATTATATTACATTAAACTCCTCTGCTTCAAAATATAATACTTGTGAACAGGTGTGATATGTCACAAGAAAACTTTTAGTTGTTCATTAAATCGTCTGACTGAATCTTATGCTTGTCATACTTCTTGTTCAGTATTGGAATACAAGTAATAATACATAATCAGGTATAATGGAATAAAATGTTAATGCAGTAACTGATGAATTTTCCTACTTTGGGCTTTGTGGAATTTCTCCACCTGTGTCCATCTCATCTCTCAGCCTAGGCATTACAGTAATAATTTTCTCCAGAAAGTTTTACTTGTAGAGCCAATGACACCCACCTGCCCTCCAGTCCTTCCTTTCCCAAACCAAGAATAGTAATGATACTGTCTCTAAGCAGGGATGAAGAAAAGTTAGAGAAAAAGTAAGGGAAGTTAGACACTGGGGGGTTTGCAGAGATAGAATAAAGCTGTGCAGGGGTAACTGCATGGGATGCTGAAAGTGGATGGAAGTGGGAGGTGACCTCTCCACATCCTCTGGGGGTCAGAATGTTTTGGAGAAAACAAAACAAATTTTCCAGTTTTTCCAATAAAGTGTTAGACCTCAGTTGAGAAAAAGAACCAGTTAAGAAGGTCAAGGATACGATGAGAGTGAACTATAGAAACAGCAAGGATTTTGAAGCCTGGGAACCCCTATAGATACCAGATTGAAAACATGTCCTCTACATCTTCAGAGGAGCAGAATCTATGGACTCTCATAAGAGAGGATGGTCTCATATCTACCCACCCTGCACCTCAACTTATTTCATAATGGTGCATAAACTCCTTTGAACTTATTCGAATTGACTTAGAGTAGGTTTTTCTGTAATGCAATAGAATATGGCTTAAGATCTTTTAAAAACCCGTTACAAAAAAGAAAACTTTGCTCTTTTAAGTATTCAAACTCAAAAAATATGTATAGTTTTTTCTAGTATATTTTAGTTTGCTACTTACATTTTCAATTAACCTCACAATATCTCCATATTTTAGTTATTATTGGCTTCCACTTTTCATTCATTCACCATAAAAATGTGTTAGGTGATATTAGAAGCTCAAATCTGTACTAGTTTCTAGACACCCCCTGTTGTGACAAACACCTCTTGTGACTCACCTAATATTTGCTGGACCCAAATTAACTTCACTCATATTTATGGCAACCATGCTCAAGATGGTGCAACCTGACAAACACTTAAACCTCATTGATTCCAGATACCTCTCATTTATGCATGTTCAACCTGAAAATGTGGGGAAGTCATCTTTATCCCATGAGGTGACTCTTGACCAAAGGGGCCTACAAGCTAATGAATAGACGTTCCACATTTTGCTGCCTTAAATAGACAATTCAGAAGTACATGGTTTGTGGTTTCTTAAAATCTCTTGGCATGACTGAGCCTCAATTATCCACAGCAGTTACCAACTCAAGAAAGAACCTCAGCATGGGCTTTCCCATCTTCTCTGTGCCCCTTGTCATTATTTCCCAAACAAACTACCTGTGCACAAATATGAGAATGTCTGTATGCTGGGTGTAGAGTACTATGGTACTAATTTAACAGAACAGGTAGAACTCATTGTCTTAGTTCATGCAGGCTGCTATAATAAAATCCATAAACTGAGTGATTTATATACAACAGAAATTTATTTCTCATAGTTCTGAGAGTGGGAAAGTCTAAGATCAAGTTGCTGGCAGCGTCGGGATATGGTGAGGGCCAATCTTCCCACTGTAACTTCACATAGTAGAAAGGATGGGGGTCTCTTTTGGGCCTCTTTTATAAGGGCAGTAATCCAAATCATGAGGGCTTCATCCACATGCTATTATGACCTCCCAAAGGTGCCACCTCCTAATGCCATCGTCTTGGGGATTAGAATTTCAACATATGAATTTTGAGAGAATATAAACATTCAGACCATAGCACTCATGGAAACTAATGATTTGTGGTGGAAAAACACTTGATAGAGAAGACATTATATTGAAGTCGCTTTTTTTAAGAGTAGGTAACTAATGAGAAGCGCAGCTAGCATTGAAATCAGTACTTCACATTTTCGAAGTATGTTATTTCCACTGTAAAATGGAAACCAACAATTTATAGTATTATAGTTTATGTTGTAGTGCTAAGAACCATAGAGAGTATTTAAACTTATTTCCCTTATTAAATGCAGTATTAGTTTTTTTAATAGGCAATGATATGAAAAGAATGAGAGAAATGAGACATTATATGAAATGATTTAGATTGAGATGTTTAGTAGCAGATTCAAAGAAAGGACATTCAAGCCAAGATCCACAAGAAGCAAGTGTGGGAAAGTAAAAACAAAAATAATAAGTTTTGTTTGATAAGCAGAGAAGATGAAGTGAATGAGAAAGACACAAAATAATTCATGTAAACCACTTGGCTTCTCAAATACAAATAACATTTATTTCCATTCAAAAATTCAAAATGAAAACATCAGAAAAAAATGAAATTATAAAAATAACTTGTCTGAAGATCTCTGCTACAACCAGAATCACAGCTGTCTATTGTATTTTTTCTGTTACACAGTTGCAGACATTTTGTTAGAGTCCCTACAGAAAGAATATTTTTCAAAAATAATGCAGCTGGTCTTTAGTTATATGTGTTTGAATTACAACCTCATTAACATTGTACAGTGATATTCTTAAACGTGGGCTCTATTTATAATGCCCTTTTCTTCCAGTCAAGTGTTCATTTTAAGCAGCATTATCATACTTGGAGAAAAATATTAAATTAGTTATTGCTATCTTGTTGCAGGAAATTTAAAATGTCTTACATGGAGTTTTAGAGTTTTCTTAAATGCCCTGAGGTCATAATGGAAAATCTAATGAATATTATCAGGCAGTAGCTGGATGGGTTCAAGTGTTCCTAACCAGTTTCAACCACAGGAGTCGTCTTGAGTATGTTGTCTTGGCTTCCTGGTAAGATATCATTCATAGATATGTATGTTATTAAAATATTAAGAAACAGAAAATTAAAGTGATAATACCAATGGAGAGAAATGTAGGCTATTTAAATTTAAAATAATTGACACAAAATTATAAACTTAAATGTGCTTGAAATTTTAAATCTTTAGCTTGAATTGAAAGTGACTAGACTTAAGGAGGCTGAATATAGGTTCAGTGCTGAAAGAATAAGCACAATCAAATAAGAAACATGATATTCTAGAAATATATGGTGGAACATTCTATCTAGAAGAGAAGTAGGCAGTAAGATGTTTCATTGTTTTAAGCACTGGGATTTTAGCAAATTTCTTTAACAATTATTTGTCAAGCTGCTGCTTTGTGCCAAGCACTTTCTGATAAATAGGACTATACAAGTGAACAAAATGCCCCTTGGAACATACATTTTAGTAAAGAATAGGAAACAACATTAAGAAACAAAATAAATAAGCCAATTATACATTAGGTTGACTCATAGTTTCCTATGGCTGTTGTAACAATTTACCACAAATTTGGTGACTTAAAGGAATAAGGATTTCTTCTCTTATAGTTCAGAAGGCCAGACATCAGACACAAGACTCTAGGGAACAATCTGCCTCCGTGTCTTTTCTAGTTTATAGAGGTCAGCTGCATTCCTTGACTGGTAACACCTTCCTCACATCATTCCAACCAGTTTCTTTCATCATCACATCTTCTCCTTTTCTTTACTAAAATATCTTTCTGTCTCCCTGTTATAAGTCCACATGTGATTACGTTTGGGGCCCTGCACACATGGATAAACCAGTATAGTTTCCCCATCTCAAGACCCTTTATTTAATTACATCTGCAAATTACCTTTTGCCATATAAAGTAACACTTACAGATTTAAAGAAGTAGGGCCTGGATGTATTCAGAGGCCATTATTCAGTCTATTATTGAGTGATTAATGCAATAGAAAAAAAAAAGTCACATAGGATGAGAGGTTGAGAAAATCCTTGAGGTGCTACTTTTTAGTAGTCATCAGTGTAAACCCCATTGAGTATGTGATAGTCGTCAAAAGAATTCAAGCAGATAGGAAGCTGTGTGAATATCCAAGCCAGAGCACTACAAGCAGAGGCAACAGCCATTTAGAAAAGATGTGTCAGTGTGGCTAAAGTTGAATCAGGGAATGGAAAAAAAGTGGAAGTTAAGTCAGAGAGTAACTGGAATAGTTAGTCATGTGAGACCTTGCAAGGAAGTAAGCTATTACACAAGTGAATGAGGGGCTATTTCAGGTTTTGGGGCAGAGAAATGACATGACATAACTTACAGCAGGATCACTCTGGCTGTTGTGTTGGGAGTATCCTAAAAAGGGTAAGAGGGAGAAAAGGGAGACTGGTTAGATATTGCAGAAATCTGAGAAAGAAATTATAGCTGGAACCAGAGGGGTAGCAGTGAAGTGGGAGAAATATTCAAACTCCAGATTTGTTTTGAAGGTAGGGTCAACATGATTTGTTGGCATATTTGCATGTAGTATAAGAGAGAAACTGAGGGGTAAATATGACTCCAGAATTTGAACTAAGCCTTAGAAGAAGACTATCGAAGGATAAACTTAAGAATAAGGTCAGGAGCCGGGCGTGGTGGCTCACGCCTGTAATCCCAGCACTTTGGGAGGCCGAGGCGGGCTGATCACCAGGTCAGCAGATCGAGACCATCCTGGCTAACACGGTGAAACCACGTCTCTACTAAAAACACAAAAAAATTAGCCGGGTGTGGTGGCTGGCGCCTGTAGTCCCAGTTACTCGGGAGGCTGAGGCAGGAGAATGGCGTGAACCCGGGCGGCAGAGCTTGCAATGAGCCAAGATGGCGCCACTGCACTCCAGCCTGGGTGACAGAGGGAGACACCATCTCAAAAAAAAAAACAAAAACAAAAACAAAACCCAAAAACAAAAACAAAATAAGGTCAGGAATTCACTTTTGAATGTTTTAGTTTGAAATTTCTAGTAGGCAACCAAGTAGAAATGTAGTCACCACATGATCAGGCTGCAGTGAAAGCAATGTTCTCAGAGGAGAACCATGCTTTCAGGGGTTTCAGAGAAGCAGGGGAGTATATAATAAGGAATTGGGGCAATAATGGTTCATACATTTCGGAGGACATAGTGGATGGGTTTCACAATTTAAGGGGTCGAAGAAGAGGAGAAAATTGAGAATATGCTGATCCTTAGATGGCATGAAGTCCAGGAGGTTAGGTGTTACCTAGAAGTGACTTTTGAACACTCATGGGGAAGAAGCCGACTTAACGGATGCATTGATGAGGTTTAGGTAGGGTAATTGTTCTTAAATACTTTTAGGAGTAAAGAGGGCACTAGTCATAATTCCTGAGACAACAAGCTTAAATGGAGACTGTCGCAAGCAAGCTGAAACCCCTGTTCTTCCTAGGTTGAGGATATCTAGGAATGTCAGTTGTTATTATGAATGCATGTCTCCTTCTTGGACCCTGGTGATGGGGTAAATGGTCTTAGGAGGAGTGGTCATGGTCCCAGAATGCAAGATACACTCCTTAAAAGTATTTTTTACTTTTATTTATTATGGATTCATAATAGTTGTATATCAAGACACACTCCTAATCTCTTAGAGGGTGGGGCAGATTTATTAGAAAGTTCCTGTCTGATCTGTGCCACCTAAATTGAGGAAGGCTGGGGAAGTCTGGTTTTAATCCCCAGTCGTGGTGATAGGTGTTGATCTCTGTCTAACAGGTTCTTGGAGAAAACATGACTCCCTCTTGAAAACGAGTGATGAAGCTGAGAACATCTAGGGGATCAGATTATAGTCTGCTGAGCTTGAGTCCTTTCTGGATCCCTATAAATATAAGGTGGAAGGTCTGAGGGAAATATGGTCTTAGCTCTAGAGTGTAGTTTCATGAGGAATGAATTTTCTCTGGGAATATTTGTCTATCATTAGACTCTTGCATACTAGTACACGTTCTTTTATGATCTACTTTATCCTAATCTGTTATTCAAAGTATATACTAACTTCTTAATTTCAATGACTACATATCTTATTTCTAGACATTCCACTAGGTACTTTTCCAAATCTTTTTATTTTTTCAGAATGAGTTTTATTTTCATTATAGCTTATATTTCTTTTTCATATCTTTGGGATTTTTTAATTAGTTTTTGGGCACTGTCCAAAAACTAATTATTCTATTATTTAAGTTGTTGGGGTGACTGAGTGCCAATTCTATCTGTTTTGTCTGCCACTGACTTTCTTGAGAGTGTATCGATCCCATTTTTTTCTTAATTTTTAATTGTGGCTTATTAGCAGCTGTTTTTAGTGCAAACGTGTATTTGGGAGCTAGGGAAGCATATTGGACCTGAGAAAAATTAGTTGTTTCATGTCATTTTCCTGTGGGATTCACAGGTGACCTGACAGGCATTGTCCTTGAGCAGCATTTTACATTTTTTTCTACAGGGCATCTCAGAAGACCTTGGGCTTGGTCCTGTTTCCTTAATGGTGCTACTTTTTAGGCTTAGGATTCCCCAAGATATTCTAAGTTCTGAATCCACCATACCTTGTAGTTCAGGCTTGTTTTCAGTGGCTTATGTCTTCAGCTTAGAATGGAGAAGATATACTTCCCCGGCACTGTCCTGAAGCTGTAAGAAGTGCTTCGGTAGTTCTTTATTCTGTAGTCCCTACATGGTATTACTTGCAATGTTCTGGATCAATATGAGGATTTCAATTCCACTGCTTACCCTTCCAGACCACAGACAAGCCTACAGTCCTTGTGTAGGCATCAAAGGTCTAAGCTGTATAAACAAATGTCAACATCTGAGCCACCCTTCCTATGGGTTCCTGCACTGCCTTTTCTACCCACAGCTTCCCTCTTTATTTCAAGCAATTGGTGCTTCTTTTACTTTATAAATACAGCTACAAACTTACTGTTTTATATTTGTAGGTGTGCACAAACACACATATACACACACACACATTTTTTTTTTTCTTTTAACTGAGAAAGTGAAAAGTAGCTCAATTTGCCAACTTGGTGAAATTAGAATTTCTCCCCACTTCTTTGTTCATTTTTAATTGTTTTTCCCTTTTTGAATGTAGGTGGCAAAGAATGATTTGTTTAAACATATTAAACATAATGAAAGCCTGCCTTTTATTACTTAATGATTTTTTTACCTACTTTGTGTTTTTTTGATTTCATTAATGTTGTTTCAATGATTTCTAACCCCTTAAAGAGTGTTCTTGTATGCAAGTGTTTTCAAGATAATATTTTTGAACAAAGTCAATATTTCCACTATGGGAAATACCAACATAATGTCTCATTATTTGATAATTATATGAACACTCAATAAATCTCTACATGAAACATAATTAGAACACTTTTTTTTTACACATTCTCAGGAAACATACTTTTTAAGCAATTAGATTTTATTAGATTTCTTAGGAAATGAACGATTATTTAAAACTAGTCAGAATATTTTTTTCAAAGAGTAAAATTAAGGAAACTCTTATGGGGAAAATGATTGTATTATTAAGTATAATAACAAAATAGTCTCTGTTCCTTAATTATATCAATTCAATTTGCTAATGATATTAATATTATTAGCCTGTATCAGAATAGATATAATGCAAAACAATGTTAAATCTTATTGAAAGTAAATGGCAATGATACAAAGCCCTCCTTAAAAAGAGAATTATCTGTGTAATAGCCAGCATGAAAATGATATGCTTTGGGTATTTTTTTTAAATTCCCAATAATAATTGATTTGTTAAAGTTGCATTTGATTTTGAAAAGTAGGATATATGTAAATTTTTAACTCACTAATTTGAGTGGATTATAAAAATATTTGACATAGATTTTTATATTTAGAGTCCTCTAACAAATTGTGCAAAACTAAACCAATATAAGCTTTAAAAAAATTATTTGACTACTAAGACCAGAGTCAGAAATCAATGTGATAACGTAGAATAGAATATTACAAATCAGAATATATGAGGGAAGTAGCATGGGGAGAGGAAAAATAGCACAGTACCTTAAAAACTTATTTGAATATGGCATATCATTTAAAAAGGACACTATAATTTAAAAAAAAAACCCACATGTGACAATGGAAATGTACAATCAATCAACAAGGAACTCCAATTTGGTAATACTGTGGTAAACGTATATCTCTTTATGAAGACTATGGAGATTATAAACTGTAACCATCAACACCATCATTTTCTCACTATTGTATTCATTATCATTGTCATTAATGAAAGAGGAGGAATTTGGACTAGAAAGAGCACTGCACACACTCATCTCCCAAAATCCCACTTCAGGTTCTGGTTCTACTCACTTATTAACTATGTGATGTTGGATTAGGCCCATACAGCCTTAGCATTCTTTGCTTTCTAAAAATGAGTGATAATAATGCCTGTCTTGCTAAATTCACCATGTTATAAGAATTTTTTAAATGCATATTATTATAAAAATGTGCTTTGAAAACATGATATGTTTTCATTTAAAAAATAATAAAAAACAGTAGGAATAGCGTTTCCTTAGTATGCCTAAACTGATTTTTATGCTGGAACAACTGCAGAGGATAAAATTTCTTCATTTTACAATGGATCTAAAATGTAACCCCACTTTTTACTAGTTTAAACACAATCTTGGTTCTTTTTGACTATAAATATAAAGCAGGCTCATTTGGCGTATGCATTATTTCATCACTATATATAAAGGCATTCTTTGGACAAAGCTATATTATTCGCTTCATTTGTAGCAGCAAACTTTTTATAACTATGCATATTTGGCTTATTTGTCTCCCAGCTGGAGTATTCATTATGCACGTTTTTCAGAAAATGTTCATGAGTGGCATAATTTCTGTCTTTGCATATATAATAATCGAATGCTGGTGGTTTGTCTATGATGTGCAATATTTGTGTATATGTACTCATTGAATAAATAAATGCCTAATAATTATAAGAAATATAGAAGGGTTGTTTCTACTTACTTCCAGTCTTGGTTACTGTGGTTGGATTATCTTGCTTCCATACCTTTCTTCCATTAAAAAGAACTTTCCAGAGTTATGCTGTCCAATGTATGTGGCTATTAATTAGATTTAGATAACACTAAACATTTAATTCTTCAATTACATTAGCTACATTTTAATTACTCAATAGCCACATGTAGTCATAGGCTACCATACTGGGCAGTGTAAATATAGAATATTTGCAGTAATGGAAAGATCCATTGAACAGCGTTGTTCTAAAGTGTCTGTCTTTGTCCAGATATCTTTTTTATAGGTATAAATTTTGAACTTGATCCAGCGGATTTTACTTTTACAAAGTTTAGACCCTTTAACTTATTCTAGGCATCCTTTTAAGCCTCTATAATTAAGTTAATATCTTTCTCTTAGTGAATATTAGCTACCCAATAATTTTTTTATTCTTCAGTTGTTCTTCTGATCCATAATTCATTCATTCACCATTCCATTATTCACCAAACACTTATCTTTGGATTCAGGGTACTGGGTAGAACAAAGTAAATTACTTGGGAATTTCAAGACAATGAAGATAGAAAAAGATACTACCTTAGACCAATCTAAAACTATATAAGATAAATTGTAAATTTGTAAGTTCTGGTCAGTCAAGTTTCAGATCCATTAAGATTATAAAGCTGCACTGCTTTGATTCACTATGGTCACATTTATGGTATCTACATCTTGTTTTTTTTCATAATAAAGTTTACATTAGTTTATTCTGGATTTTTTATAGTTTTCTTTGCTTGCAAAATATACTTTCAAGTGAGGGTCATTAAATTTCAATTTACTGATATATATATAGGAATTACTGCCAAAATCAATGATATGTTTACCCCCTGGAAGAACCAGAGAGCACATATTGTGATGCTTTGAGTAAAGAATAATTTTCAGCACAATTTAAGAGGACTGAAATATAAAAGCAAATGTACTTTCAACCACAGATGTACACTAAAACTAAATTCCTGCAAAGCCATACAAATAGAATACAAATAAAAGTTGTAGTCTAGCCAGTTATTTGGCACAATGAGATCAAAACAAAGATTTTTTAACTTGTGTTTTTTCTTTTCTTTATTTTCATGAAGACAGCCTGTTCCATACTGAAATAAAATGAGAGTAATTAGAAAGCTACCACTTTACTAATTTCATATATTTACCATACAGAGAGGTTGTGGTTATCAATTTAGTCAACAACAAATTTCAGTTGTAATGATTTTACCAAAAGAGAAAACCGGGCATGCTGATAGATTAACAACAAATATCAGTAAATTTGGACCAGAAAAAAAGAAGAGTTCAATCTTTGAATCAATCAGAATGAAGTTTCAAGTGATATTTAATGTTAGAACCGAGGTCCTGCTGTTTCAGAAAATAAATTGCAAATTGTAATGAAAATAACTAAGTCTGTCTCTCTCTATCCCTCCCTCTCTCTCCCTCTCGCTCCCTTTCTCTCTCTCTCTCTCTCTCTCTCCCTGCCCATTCCCTGTTTCTCTCTTCCAAGTTACTTTCTCAGAATCACAGAGGAAGGCTTAGAATGGGTAAATTGCCCCAGAGCAATTTGAATACTCCCAAATGGCCATAACTAGAGTTACCATTAAATCAAATAGAGTTGTGAGCACTAAGTGAAAATGCTATCCACAGAGGCCATAGGTTCCAAACAATAATGGGTTAGAACTAGTGTGTTATCTGAACACAAAGGTCAAGAATTTGGAAGTATGAGGAAATGCCTGTCAGTTTTATACATTTATTCTTGTCTTAATGTTTTTATTTCTTATTGTCTGACAATTATACTTGGTTTTAACTGTATAAAATAATCATGGAATAAAGATGCAAGTTTACACACAGGGAAATATACTCTTGGGATTCAATGTAATCGAGATTTCTAGGGTTGTTTCTAAAAAGGGATATTTATGTGAATCATAATCTTGGATCTTTATGGCAGATCACATATCACTGAAGGATAAAAACTACATTAGAAAAAGTCACACACTGTTTCTCAACAGACACACCATTGGCATTTAGGGCATAACAGTTCTTTATTTTGCGAGACTCTCAGATGCATTGCAGGATATTTGACATTCTTGCTACTAAATAGCAGCAGTGTTCCACAGTCATTCAACGACAAAAAAAAAAAAATGTCCCTCTCAACACATACACCATATTTCCATATGTTCCCTGGAGCAGGAAGGTGGGCTGGTTTCACCTCCACTAAAAACAACTAGGAAAAATTATAGAAGGGGAGAAAGCCCTACCTACCTGAAGGTATTAAGAGAGGTGTGAGAGTGAAAATTCAAAGGTGTTGGTTTATAGGTAATAAATAAGAAGTAGATAACTATTTTACATCAGTATTCTGTTTTTTTTGTTGTTGTTGCTGTTGTTTTGTTTGTTTGTTTTGAAAAGGAGTCTCGCTTTGTCGCCTAGGCTGGAGTGCAGTGGCACGCTCTCTACTCATGGCAACCTCTGCCTCCTGGGTTCAAGCGATTCTCGTGCCTCAGCATCCTCAGTGGCTGGGATTACAGGCACCTGCCACCATGTCCGGCTAATGTTTTGTATTTTTAGTAGAGACAGGGTTTGGTGAAACCCCATTAGTCAGGATGGTCTCGAACTCCTGATCTCAAGTGATCCACCCGCCTCAGCCTCCCAAAATGTTGGGATTACAGGCGTGAGCCCCGGCACCCAGCTTAGATCAGTATTCTTAAAGCCATTTTTCCTCTATGATTTCTTCACTCGCCTGATGTTCCAGCGATTGCTTCTTGGTATTATTTATTTATCTATTTAGTGGCTTGGTTAGATATTTAGTTACAAAAGCACACTTCTTGCAAGAAAAATAAAGAAGCCAAACACATAGAGGTTTATATGCAGTAAAAGTTGAAGTCCTCTCACTTAACTACCTCTTTTTTTCTACCTTCAAGCAACATTTTCTTTACTTGATTTTAAATGACCTTAATAACAATTTATGGGTTTATATTTTAAGCTTCGGTTCTCTCTGCAAGGATAAATCTGTCTACATGGAAGTACAAAAGGTGTTACTGGTTCCATCATTAGATTAGATAGTACTGGGAAAAGTAACATTTCAAGGAGGTAATGATCTCATTTGTTACGACGCTTCCTTCTCCTCCTGAGGCCTTCTAACCTCAAACATGACCTCTCCAGTTTGGGAAAATTGTGTTGTGCAGACACAGTCCAAACCAACAAGCATTTTTAGTTCTCTAGATTTGTGGTAGGCATATGCAACGTGTAAGGTAGTGAGTGACAGCTCTCAAAATGCTCAGTTTCAGGTAAATAGACCAACCTTAATAAAACATGACAACTGCTATACCTGTATGATTGCTGCTGCCACCCCCATTCCTAATCAAGTCTACTCTGGCCCAAGTGTCAACCTCTCAGTGCTCTATGGCTCAACAGGATAATCTGATTCAAATCACGAAAGCTCCAAGTGTATCATAGATCAAAAGTTCAATATCAGTTATTTCATTACCGAGGAAAACATGATCCAGAGTAATGGTGACATGCACATTCTGTCAGTAAGCTTATTCATGATTAATGTTTTTGAAAAAGGGTTAAACAGCATCCAGGCAACGTACGTACATTTGGCAATGGCTTTCAGAATACTGTGTATTTGATTTCTGTGTGTGTGTTTGTATTTTTAATTGTTTACTCATTTATTTTCTATAAAGATGCTGGGTCTTGGTGAGATAAGGAGAAAATACAGTGCAGAATTACTGGGAGTGAAAGTGAAGTAAAACATGATCAGTCCAAGGTGAGAATTTGGACAGAGGTTTCTTTAATTATACTGCAAAAGCATTTCATCCTTGTATGGACCCAGCTCTGGCCTCAGTTTATCTAATTATTTTTTCCTCTCTAGCATCTTTAACTTAAAATATGATAATTTTCATGTAAATACATTTTATTATGCATTTTCTAAAACTCCATAAGTTTAGAGTGTATCGTACTGCTGTACATCTGATATCCTCACTTCATTACAGATAATCTGTATAAGATAGTACACTATAGATCTATTAAAAAAAATTAAGTCATTTATACTATTATTAACTCACTAATGACATAAATGATTAAATCTTATACAGATTAATGGACTCCTTTTTCTTCCAAACAGTAGCCTTCTCCTTAAAACACTGAGTAACATACTGTGCACAATAGTGTACTTTTCATTATGATAAAATACTTCCTACTAAAAGGCCCTCTAGTAGAAAATCGGACAATATGACTTCTCTTGTTTCATCTTTATTTTTTCAAATGTCATCAGGAAAAATGGGTAAGTGAATATTTTCATTGAAACACATAACAATATTTAGCAAAATCTCAAAGCTGTATATGGTCTGGTGTTTTATATAACTTTGGCATCCTATTCAACTAAACCACAAATGGGATATATGGAAGTTATTTCTTATATCCTTAAGCATTTATTTTCTTCTTGTTAATGGAATGTCTCATGTCAGAGGCTCTATAGGGAAAATGAAACATTATTTTCAAATAGGATTAAACAATTATATAACTCATTGTTTTGGGGATATAGGAACAGAAGTCTCTCCTGATAGGACTTAGTGCTTATTAAATATAAGTTGATAATGATGATTAATATAGGCTGCAATGGGGACTAAGCTCTATCATTGCTACATTGTTCGCCTATGCACACTGTGGGAAAAGGTTATAACACTATGGATATGCCAGAAATGTGAGCAAATGTTGATTTACATGGCACACAAAAAGTAGGAAGATTTGAAAAATTCTACTAGTGATCATCACTCACTGTGGATATACTGTCAGTATGCTAATATTTTGGCCCCAAGATGAAAACTTTACAGTTAAGTGAGTAGAGGCAATATATCAGAACCTATATGTGAGTGATAAGTTGCTAATGGTTAGTGATGCATATTTCAAGGATTATAAATCTATATTTTTTATTGCTGGCATATGCTAAAGTTGTATGGAGAAATGCATTATGATTCAGCTTAAAAAAAGACACATAATCCAAGTGTCAGTTTGGAGCTAGTAAGTCTAATATGCTCCTTGTCCCACTATTTGAGCAAATAACCTTGCTCTTATTTTAATGATGTTATTTGAATAATGAAACAGTAACTTTCTCACTTATTTCCATTAAATCTCCAGCTCATTTGCATTTATATACTCTGCCTCCTTCTAATTACAATTGCAGGACATCTTGTCATTCCTACAAGACGTTAGCCTTTCCTGCTCTGGATTCCATCCACTCCTGCTTCTAAAGGATTTTGCTCATTGATTAACGCCTACCTCCTTTTCTCAAGGTTTATTTAATTTATGTTTTAATATTTTCTTTATTTATTGGTAAATTTCAGTAGCTTTTGGGGCACAAGTGTTTTTTTTTTTTTTGTCACATGGATAAATTATATAGTGGTGAATTCTGAGATTTTAGTCCACCCATCACTTGAGTAGTGTACATTGTACCTAATGTGTAGATTTTTATCCCTGGCACCGGTCCCTGCCTCCCTCTTCTGAGTCTCTGAAGTCCATTATATCTATCTGTATGCTTTTGCATGCCCATAGCTTAGCTCCCACTTCCAAGTGAGAGCATATGATTTTTTCTTTTCCACTCCGGTTACTTTACTTAGAATAATGTCCTACAGCTCCATCTAAGTTTCTGCAAAAGACATTATGTCATTCCTTTTAATGGCTGAGTAGTATTCCATGGTGTATATATACCACATTTTCTTTATCCAGTCATTAGTCCACGGACACTTACGTTGGTTCCACAGATTTGCAATTGTAAATTGTGTTGCTATAAAAATACGTGTGCAAGTGAGTGTCTTTTTCATATAATGACTTCTTTTCCTTTGGGTAGGTACCCAGTAGTGGGATTGCTGGATCCAATGGTAGATCTACTTTTAGCTCTTTAAGAAATCCCATACTGTTTTCTATAGAGGTTGCACTAATTTACATTCCCAGTAGCAGTATATAAGTGTTCCCTTTTCCTTACACCCACTCCAACATCCATTTTTTTTAACTTTTTACTAATAGCCATTCTTGCAGGAATAAGGTGGTATGTCATTGTGGTTTTAATTTGCATTTCTCTGATGATTAGTGATGGTGAGCATTTTTTCATGTTTCTTGAACATTTGTGTATCTTCTACTCATGTCCATTCCCCACTTTTTAATGGGAATATTTTTTGTGTGTGTGGTAATTTGTTTGAGTTCCTTATAGATCTGGACACTAGTCCTTTGTCAGGTGTGTAGTTTGCAAATATTTTTTCCCATTCTGTGGGTTGCCTGTTTATTGTTTATTTATTTTGCTATGCAGGAGCTTTTTAGTTTAATTTGGTCCCTATTATTTATTTTTATTTTTGTTGCATTTGCTTTTGGGGTCTTACTCATGAATTCTTTGCCTAGGCTGGCATCTGGAAAAGTTTTCCAACATTGTTTTCCAACACAGAAATTTTATGGTTTCAGGTTTTATATTTAAGTCTTTGATCCATCTTGAGTCAATTTTTGTATATGGTGAGAAATAGGGATCCAGTTTTATTCTTCTACATGTGGCTTGCCAGTTTTCCCAGCATCATTTATTAAACAGGGTGTTTTGTACACTTTGTTGAATATCAGCTGGCTGTAAAGACTTAGCTTTATTTCTGGGTTCTCTACTCTGTTCCACTGGTCTATATGCCTAGTTTTATATCAGTACCACGCTGTTTTGAAAACTACAGCCTTGTAGTATAATTTAAAGTCTGGTAACGTGATGTCTCCAGATTTGTTTCTTTTGCTTATAATTTCTTTGGCTATTCAGGCTCTTTTCTAGTTCCTTATGAATTTTAGGATTTTTTTTCTAATTTTCTGAAAACTGGTGTTGGTATTTTATGGGAATTGCATTGAATCTGTAGATTGCTTTGGACAGCATGGTCGTTTTCACTATATTAGTTCTTCAAATCTGTGAGCATGGGATGTGTTTCCAATGGTTTGTGTCATCTATGATCTCATTCAGCAGTATTTTGTAGTTCTTCTTGTAGAGATCTTTCACTTCCTCGGTTAGGTATATTCCTAGGTTTTTTTGGTTTTGGTTTTGTAGCTGCTGTAAAAGGGATTGAGTTCTTGATTTGATTCTCAGCTTGGTTGTTGTTGGTATATAGCAGTGCTATTGATTTGTGTACATTGATTTTGTAACCTAAGACTTTATTGAATTCATTTTTCAAATCTGAGTGTCTTTTGGAGGAGTCCTTAGGATTTTTAAGGAATACAATCGTATCATCTGCAAACAGCAATCGTTTGACTTCCTCTTTTCCTACATGATTCTACATCTAATAGAATCATGTATTAAATATCCAATTAAAAAGTAAGTAAAACTCTAAATTCTCACTTTTTATTCCATCTATTGCTGAACTCCTCTGATCCCCTTCCCAGTTAAACCACTTGAAAGAATAATCTACAATCATATCTTCACTTTCTCATCACTTTCATTTTTTTCCTAAAATCTTTCCAAAATGACCCCACATTCCACTCCTTGAGGAAGCTGCTACTATCACAAGAGATTTGCTAAATGTAATAATTAGCAAAACTTGTCTCTTTACTTTCTTGATCCTTCAACACCATTCAGTACAGTTGACATGTGTGGAAACAGTATTTTTTCTTGACTTCGGTCCTACCATTTTCCTGTTTTGTTTTTCTTTTATCTCTTCCATTTTTGCTTTTCTCCCATAAACTTTTTTGCTATTTTCTTCCATTTGACACGTAAGTGCCCTAAGGTGCAGTTCTAAGTTCCCGTCTCTTCAAGCAAATTTTTTTTTCTAAATAATTAATTTCATCTAGAGCAATGGTTTTTTGTTTGTTTGTTTTTGTTTGTTTGTTTCAGATGGAGTCTCACTCTGTTTCCCAGGATGGAGTGCAGTGGCATGATCTCGGCTCACTGCAACCTCTGCCTTCTGGGTTCAAGCAATTCTCCTGCCTCAGTTCCTGAGTAGCTGGGATTACAGGCGCACACCACCAGGCCCAGCTAATTTTTGCATTTTTAGTAGAGACAAGGTTTTACCATGTTGGTCAGGCTAGTCTCCAACTCTTGACCTCGTGATCTGCCCACCTCAGCCTCCCAAAACGCTGGGATTACAGGCGTGAGCCACTGTGCCCAGCCTAGAGCAATGGTTTTAAATAATATCTATATATTCCCAAATCTATATCTCTATAGCTAAAGTCCACAGACTAATAAACAGCTTCCGATATATCCTTTTCCTTGAGTGACAAATATCCATTATAGATTTAACAGGACCAAACAAAATACTTGATATTATTCTAAAACCTGTTCCTCATCCTGTCTTCTTTATCTTAGTAGATGCAAACATTACCTACCCAATTGTTCAAGCCAACACCAAAATGTCATTCTATATTCCCTTCTTTTCCTCACTGCGACATCCAGCCCACTATCAAATCCTGTGACATTCCTTCCAAAATGTATCCTGAAAATATAATTTCCCTTCACTCAATCTCTCCCCAGCAAATAGAGTGTTCTATTAAAAATGGAAACCATATCATATCTCCTTACTGCACTTTAGCTTAAATACTTCAGCAACTTCTAATCACGTACAATCTCTACATTATGCTTTACATCTTTGCATCTTACTTATAATAAACTTCTGATTCTGGTTTTAGAGTCTTCCTGATCTGGTACCTGTGTTTCACCTTGCACAATTTCTTTCTCTCTCTCCTTCACTCTCTGCTGTGAACACATTTATCCTCCTTCTGTTTCTTCTTCATATCTTAGCACATTGTAGAAGCATTCTCCTTTGCACAGAATGTTGTTCTCTCTTCCTGGAATATTCTTCCTCTTCAGCTTAAAATGTCTGCATTCTTGTCATTCAAGCCCAGAACTGCCTTGGTGGTTACACAGGCCATCCACAGTAATCACATTCAGTTCTTAGTTCAAATTTCATCCATGGAGACAAGCCTTCTAATCACTTAATTTAAAACAAAACCAAAACAACCATCAGCATAATCAGAGTAATTTAATGACATTAGGGGAGGGAGAAAAAGTAGATGAATGTGTTCAACTTCTACCTGCTAATGTATGTTTTTAACAAACCCATTTATAAACTCATTTTAAAATTACTGATATTTTTCCCACCAATCCCGGAGAATAACCTCTACAGGACCATGGAAGTTGACAATAGTGTGATCCACTCTATCATCACTCAATGCCAAACACATAGCAAACACATAAAGGCTTATTTGTTCAACAATAAAAAGTGAATGAATTAAGTTGAAAGAGTATGTAATTTGAAATAAAAGAATTAGAGTTCAAGTCCTAAGTCTTTTGGATACTATAATTTTAAGCAAATATTATTATTAGGTGAAACTTAATCTTATACATTAAACATGAGATCACTAACAAGTTTTGTGTTCCAAAAAAAAATTAAGACTGAAACTGTTGCCATATAAATGAATTAGGGGGAAAATCAAATGGGAATCAGGATGCTTTTTAATTAAATAAAACTTTAATAACTAAACCTGACTCGTCTACATATAACTCCTGAGTCCAGCATAGCCTGAGTTGAGAGAACAAAAATACAGCAACAGAAACCCCCATGGCATCCTGTTTGGATAACAGCAGCCATCTAATACACAAGTGTGACAAGAGACACTACATAGCTCCAGTTATTAGAACAAAAATACCAAGAAAGGTGGGTAAGACTTTTATGTAGAGGCAACTTGAGCACAGCCCACCAAAATGATAGCCAGTTTTGTTTTGTTGTGTTTTGTTTCACTTAGAAAACCACAGGGCACATAGAGCATGAAAGATGAGATGGGCCATAGAGGTTTTAAAAATGGAAAGCAAAGGATGCTTCCAAGATGGCTGAATAGGAACAGCTCCAGTCTGCAGCTCCCAGCGAGATCGACGCAGAAGACAGGTGATTTCTGCATTTCCAACTGAGGTACCTGGTTCATCTCACTGGGACTCGTTGAACAGTGGGTGCAGCCCATGGAGGGTGAGCTGAATCAGGGCAGGGTGTCACCTCACCCGGGAAGCACAAGGGGTCAGGGGATTTCCCTTTCCTAGCCAAGGGAGCCTAGCCAGGGAGTGACTCTACCTGGAGGAGCAGTACACTTTTGCCCAAATACTGTGCTTTTCCCATGGTCTTCACAACTGGCAGACCAGGAGATCCCCTCCCGTGCCTGGCTCAGCAGGTCCCACACCCACGGAGACTTGCTCGCTGCTAGCACAGCACTCTGAGCTCAATCTGGGACACAGGAGCTTGTTGGGGGGAGGGGCATCTGCCATTGCTGAGGCTTGAGTAGCTGGTTCTACGCTCACAGTGTAAACAAAGTGGCAGGGAAGCTCGAACTGCAGCTCAGCAAGGCCTACTGCCTCTCTAGATTCCACCTGTGGGGGCAGGGCATATCTGAACAAAAGGCAGCAGACAGCTTTTCCAGACTTAAACTTCCCTGCCTGACAGCTCTGAAGAGAGCAGTAGTTCTCCCAACACGGTGTTCGAGCTCCAATAATGGACAGACTGCCTCCTCAAGTGGGTCCCTTACCCTCGTGTAGCCTGACTGGGAGACATCTCCCAGTAGGGGCCGACAGACACCTCATAAAAGCAAGTGCCCCTCTGGGACGAAGCTTTCAGAGGAAGGATCAGGCCGTAATATTTGCTGTTCTGCAGCCTCTTCTGGTGATACCCAGGCAAACAGGATCTGGAGTGGGCCTCCAGCAAACTCCAACAGACCTGCAGCTGAGAGGTCTGTCTGTTAGAAGGAAAACTAACAAACAGAAAGGAATAGCATCAACATCAACAAAAAGGACATCCACACCAAAACCCCATACACAGGTCACCAACATCAAAGAACAAAGTTAGATAAAACCATAAAGATGAGGAGAAACCACAGCAGAAATGCTGAAAATTCCAAAAACCAGATCACCTCTTCTCCTCCAAAGGAACAAAGCTCCTCACCAGCAAGGGAACAAAACTAGATGGAGAATGAGTTTGATGAGTTGACAGAAGTAGGCTTCAGAAGGTCGGTAATAACAAACTTCTCCAAGCTAAAGGAGCATGTTCTAACCGATCACAAGGAAGCTAAAAACCTTGAAAAAAGGTTAGACGAATGGTTAACTAGAATAAACAGTGTAGAGAAGACCTTAAATGATCTGATGGAGCTGAAAACCACAGTACGAGAACTTCGTGAAGAATACACAAGCTTCAATAGCTGATTTGATCAAGCGGAAGAAAGGATATCAGTGATTGAAGATCAAACTAATGAAACGAAGTGAGACAACAAGATTAGAGAAAACAGTGAAAAATGAACAAAGCTTCCAAGAAATACGGGACTATGTGAAAAGACCAATTCTAGGTTTGATTGGTGTACCTGAAAGTGATGGGGAGAATGGAACCAAGTTGGGAAACACTTTTCAGGATATGATCCAGGAGAACTTCCCCATCCTAGCAAGGCAGGCCAACATTCAAATTCAGGAAATACAGAGAAAACCACAAAGATACTCCTCGAAAAGAGCAACCCCAAGACACACAATTGTCAGATTCACCAAGGTTGAAATGAAGGAAAAAATGTTAAGGACAGCCAGAGAGAAAGGTCGGGTTACCCACAAAGGGAAACCCATCAGACTAACAGTGGATCTCTTGGCAGAAACTCTACAAGCCAGAAGAGAGTGGGGGCAGTATTCAACATTCTTAAAGAAAAGAATTTTCAACCCAGAATTTCATATCCAGCCAAACTACATAAGTGATGAAGAAATAAAATACTTTACAGACAAGCAAATGCTGACAGATTTTGTCACCACTAGGCCTGCCTTACAGGAGCTCCTGAAGGAAGCACCAAACATGGAGAAGAACAACTCTTAACAGCCACTGCAAAAACATGCCAAATTCTAAAGATCACTGATGGTTTGAAGAAACTACATCAATTAATGGGTGAAATAACCAGCTAGCATCATAATGACAGGATCAAATTCACACATAACAATATTAACCTTAAATGTAAATAGGCTAAATGTCCTAATGAAAAAGACACAGACTGGCAAATTGGATAAAGAAAGAGTCAATACCCATCTGTGTGCTGTATTCAGGAGACCCATTTCACTTGCAAATACACACATAGGCTTAAAACAAAGGGATGGAGGAAGATCTACCAAGCAAATGGAAAGCAAAAAAAAGCAGGTGTTGCAATCCTGGTCTCTGATAAAACAGACTTTAAACCAACAAAGATCAAAAGAGACAAAGAAGGCCATTACATAATGGTAAAGGGATCAATTCAACAAGAAAAGTTAACTATCCTAAATATATATGTGCACCCAAAACAGGAGCACCCAGATTCATAAAGCAGGTTCTTAGAGACCTACAAAGAGACTTAGACTCCCACACAATAATAATGGGAGACTTTAACACACCACTGTCAATATTAGATCAACAAGACAGAAAATTAACAAGCATATCCAGGACTTGAACTCAGCTCTGGATCAAATGGACCTAATAGCTATCTACAAAACCCTCCACCCCAAATCAACAGAATATACATTCTTCTTAGCACCACATTGCACTTATTCTAAAATTGACCACATAATTGGAAGTAAAACACTCCTCAGCAAATGCAAAAGAACAGAAATCACAACAAACTGTCTCTCAGACCACAGTGCAATCCAATTAGAACTCAGGATTGAGAATCTCAGTCAAAACCACAAAACTACATGGAAACTGAACAACCTGCTCCTGAATGACTACTGGGTACATAACAAAATGAAGGCAGAAATAAAGATGTTCTTTGAAACCAATGAGAACAAAGACACAACATATCAGAATCTCTGGGACACATTTAAAGCAGTGTGTGAGAGAAATTTATAGCACTAAATGCCTGCAAGAGAAAGCAGGAGAGATCTAAAATTGACACCCTAACATCACAATGAAAAGAACTAGAGAAGCAAGGAGCAAACAAATTCAAAAGCTAGCAGAAGGCAAGAAATAACTAAGATCAGAGCAGAACTGAAGGAGATAGAGACACAAAAAAACCTTCAAAAAAATCAATGAATCCAGGAGCTGGTTTTTTGAAAAGATCAACAAAATAGACCACTAGCAAGACTAATAAAGAATAAAAGAGAGAAGAATCAAATAGATGCAATACAAAATGATAAAGGTGATATCACTACTGCTCCCACAGAAACACGAACTACCATCAGAGAATACTATAAACACCTCTACTCAAATAAACCAGAAAATCTAGAAGAAATGGATAAATTCCTGGACACATACACCCTCCCAAGACTAAACCGGGAAGAAGTTGAGTCTCTGAATAGACTAAAAACAGGTTCTGAAATTGAGGCAATAATTAATAGCCTACCAACCAAAAAAGTCCAGGACCAGACAGATTCACAGCCGAATTCTACCAGAGGTACAAAGAGGAGCTGGTATCATTCCTTCTGAAACTATTCTGATCAATAGAAGAAGAGGGAATCCTCCCTAACTCATTTTATGAGGCCAGCATCGTCCTGATACAAAGCCTGGCAGAGACACAACAACAAAAAAAAGATTTTTAGGCCAATGTCCCTGATGAACACCCATGCAAAAATCCTTAATAAAATACTGGCAAACAGAATCCAGCAGCACAACAAAAAGCTTATCCACCATGATCAAGTCAGCTTCATCCCTCTGATGCAAGGCTGGTTCAACATATGTGAATCAATAAACGTAATCCACCACATAAACAGAACCAATGATAAAAACCACATGATTATCGCAATAGATGCAGAAAAGGCCTTCAACAAAATTGAACAGCCTTTCATGCTAAAAATTCTCAATAAACTAGATATTGATGGAATGTATCTCAACATAATAAGAGCTATTTATGACAAACCCACAGACAATTTCATACTGAATGGGCAAAAACTGGAAGCATTCCCTTTGAAAACTGGCACAAGATAAGGATGCCCTCTCTCACCACTCCTAGTCAACATAGTATTGGAAGTTCTGGCCAGGGCAATCAGAAAAGAGAAAGCAATAAAGGGTATTCAAATAGGAAGAGAGGAAGTCAGATTGTCTCTGTTTGCAGATGACATGATTGTATATTTAGAAAACCCCATCGTCTCATCCCCAAATCTCCTTAAGCTGATAAGCAACTTCAGCAAAACCTCAGGATACAAAATCAATGTGCAAAAATCACAAGCATTCCTATACACCAATAAGAGACAGATAGAGAGCCAAATCATGAGTGAACTCCCATTCACAATTGCTACTAGGTGACTAAAATATCTAGGAATCCTACTTACAAGGGATGTGAAGGATCTCTTCAAGGAAAAGTACAAACCACTGTTCAAGGAAATAAGAGAGGACACAAACGAATAGAAAAACACTCCATGCTCATGGATAGGAAGGATCAGTATTGTGAAATTAGCCTTACTGCCCAACGTAATTTATAGGTTCAATGCTATTGCCATCAAGCTACCACTGACCTTCTTCACAGAATTGGAAAAAACTACTTTAAGCTTCTTATGGAACCAAAAAGAGCCCGCATAGCCAAGACAATCCTGGGCAAGAAGAACAAAGCTGGAGGTATCATGCTACCTGACTTCAAACTTTAATACAAGGCCACAATAACCAAAACAGCATGGTACTGGTACCAAAACACATACATAGACCAATGGAACAGAACAGGGGCCTCAGAAATAACACCACACATCTACAACCATCTGATCTTTTACAAACCTGACACAAACAAGCAATGGGGAAGAGATTTCCAATGTAATGAATGGTGTTGGCAAAACTGGCTAGCCATATGCAGAAAACTGAAACCGGACCCCTTCCTTACACCTTATAGAAAAATCAATTCAAGATGGATCAAAGACTTGAATGTAAGACCTAGGACCATAAAAATCTTTGAAGAAAACCTAGGCAATACCATTCAGGACATAGGCATGGGCAAGGACATCATGTCTAAAACAGCAAAAGCAATGGCAACAAAAGCCAAAATTGACAAATGGGACCTAATTAAACTAAAGAGCTTCTGCACAGCAAAGGAAACTACCATCAGAGTGAAAAGGCAACCTACAGAATGGGAGAAAATTTTTGCAATTTACCCATCTGACAAAGGGCTAATATCCAGAATCTACAAAGAACTTAAACAAATTTACAAGAAAAAAAAAACCATCAAAATATGGGCAAAGGATATGAACAGACACTTCTCAAAAGAAGACATTTATGCAGCCAAACAGACATATGAAAAATGCTCATCATCACTGGTCATTAGAGAAATGCAAATCAAAACCACAATGAGATACCATCTCACACCAGTTAGAATGGCGATCATTAAAAAGTCAGGAAACAACAGATGCTGGAGAGGTTGTGGAAAAATAGGAATGCTTTTACTCCCACTGTTGGTGGGAGTGTAAATTAGTTCAACCATTGTGGAAGACAGTGTGGTAATCCTCAAGGATCTAGAACTAGAAATACCATTTGACCCAGCAATCCCATTGCTGGGCATATACCCAAAGGATTATAAATCATTCTACGATAAAGACACATGCACACGTGTGTTTACTGCAACACTATTCACAATAGCAAAGCCTTGGAACCAACCCAAATGTCTATCAAGGATAGACTAGATTAAGAAAATGTGGCACATATACACCATGGAATACTATGCAGCCATGAAAAAGGATTAGTTCATGTCCTTTGCAGGGATATGGATGAAGCTGGAAACCATCATTCTCAGCAAACTATCTCAAGATCAGAAAACCAGACACTACATGTTCTCACTCATAAGTGGGAGCTGAACAATGAGAACACATGGACACCAGGAGGGGAACATCACACACCGGGGCCTGTGGGGGATGGGGGGCTAGGGGAGGGATAACATTAAGAGAAATACCTAATGTAGTTGATGATTTGATGGGTGCAACAAATCACCATGGCACATGTATATCTATGTAACAGAACTGCAGGTTCTGCACATGTATCCCAGAACTTAAAGTATAATTAAAAAAAAAAAAAGAAAAAAAGAAATGCTGACTTCAGAGAAACAGGCTTGGGGAAACAAAACAACACAAAACAAAACAAGCAAACCAGTTAGGATACTTTCTGCTATAAGAAACAGAAAACTCTACTTGAACTGAGTTAAATAAAAAAGGAAATTTCGCCCCCCCTCCCCCCCCAAAAAAAAACATGGAAAGCAAATATAGTGAAGACCTTAAGGGACATGAAAAAATTAAATTATAAGCCAGCAGTGGGGAAAACCAAGCGCTAATCAGGTTAACAATTCAGATTCCCCAAAAGTTGCAAACATTAATAGCACCAATACCTCAGAAAATGGTTACGGAGAGAAGAGGAAGATACAATGAAGGGGAAAAAGTTAGTGTAAGAATAAACTAGGTTGTTCCCAGATTCCATTCAAGTAGTACCTGCCCTACCATTCTACTATTCTAGAAGAAGACTGACCAGTTGTTAAAGGATTTCCGGACTTGAGGAAGTATTACACTACAAACAGGTGCATTTAGTGACTGTAAGCACAGTAATGCCTGAGACAACAGCCCATGCCCAGGGCTCTTTCATATGTTTATCATATCTCTAGGGCTCATATCTCTAGACCTCCAGAGACCAGAACTTTACTCTCTGGGGAATCTGACCAGCCCAGGAAAAAAGATTTGAAGATTCAGGACAAATCCTATCTGAATTTCCCAGGCACATCACTCTGCAGTTAAGCTTGCAATTGATAAGATCTAGTGAGGCATTAATAGATTCCAATTTACTTTTTAATTTCCCAGACTAAGGTAAGGGTAATCATGTAAAGATTGTCAGAGGTATGAAAGATGGAATACAAAACAAACAAAAAAGTCTTTGGAATATGGAGGAAAAGACTATGCTGAAAGATTAAAACTTAACAAGAAAAACAATATACTCAGAGAGATAAGAGAAGATATTGAATCCAAGAGGAAAAAAACAGGATATTATTGTTTTAAAGTGGGGGGAGTTTTTGAAAATTTAAACTATAAGGAAAGAAATGGAGGGAAAGGAGAAAATTAATACAAAGTTTGTAAGATAAATTAGAGAAACTCTCACAGTAAGAAAAGGAAAAAAAAGAGCATTATGCTCAGGTTATTGGCTTGATTCTTTAATAGAGATAAAAGTAAGAATGGCTTAAATGAGTTAGGTTTCTATCTCTCAGTCTCTGTCACACACACACACACACACACATACACACACACACACACACACACGTCCACAGTGATCAACAAAATAGTAGGGCATCTGTTATTTATTATCAATAAAATTGCCTGAGGCCTATGTTTCTTACATTTTGTTGCTACTTCATCCCCTAGAAGTTTCCCTTGGTTTATCACCACCACATACATATTCCAGATATCTTCAAAGGGAAAAAATGGAAGAATGCAGCTTCCTTTTAAGGACAATGTTGTGCATAAAGGGAGATTTTACATACCTTTTTCTCACATTTCCATTAGCCAGAACTTAGTCCCATGGCAATACTTAATGATAAGGAGGGCTGAAAAGTTTAGAAAGTAGCTGGATGTTCATGAACCAAGCTACAAACCAGGAGATTCCATAAATTCAAGGAGGAAGGGAAGATCGTATAATGGAGATCAACATTCTTTGTCATAAAGAGAGAAAATAAAAAATTCAATTAGGTGGCTATACCAAGAGTTATAACAATCAAACAATAGAAATTCCCTGAGAGAACAGAAAAAAAAACCAGAATGGAGAAATTCATCATTAAATATTTTAAAGAAAATTTATCCATCTGTCAGGAAACTAAATGAAAACAAACCCACATCAATGTACTTTATTATGAAACACTGGAACCTTAATCACAAGGAAAATAATCTACAAAATTTCAGGTAATTAGAGAACAAGAAATATTCAAATGATTAGGGAACAATGTCTTCGAAATTGTCAATAGCAGGTTGGAAGCTGGAAAAAAAAGAAGCAATGCATTGGCAAATTCTGAATGAAAGCATAATTGCCAAATTAGAATTATTTTATTCACTCAATCTAAAAATCAGAAGCATGTTTGTAATATATTCATCTACCATGGGCCTTTGTTGAGAAGGATACTAGAGAATATGCTCTTTCAAAATAGTAATTAAACCTAAGAGAGAGTAAGACAGAGGAAAATAGAATCAAGAGATCAATAAATAGAAATGAGAGGAATTCCCAGAGTGGTGGTGGCGGTAAATCCCAGGGTAACAACTCGGTGCAGACTTAGAGGCAAGTCAGTCGAGATTGAAGAAGGTTAATAGGTTTAGCAAAGACTTCTACAGCAAGTTGCAAGGGAAACATCTTTCCACGTATCTGCACATCTTAGGTGAAAATTTATGCAATTGTTTTAGAGTTTTTACTTAAATTAATAAGTACTAAGAAAAGCAAACATACCAAAAATAAATGAAGTAAGGGGTGCTAGGAAGGATGCTTATAAGTGGATGGTGTGGAAAAGAAAAAGTCTGTATTCTCATCAGATGAGAGGATCAGTAATAAAGCTTAAGATATAACATTATCAAGAAGTAACAATATTTTTAAGTAGCAATTTAAGCATATAACCATGAGACATAAATTAAGTACCAAAATAATCACCTGAAAAAAAAAAGTGGTCACCTTATGGGAAGGATAAAACAGTGGAAGGGGAAGGTAGCATTGGCTCTTTGGAATAGTTTTTATTGTTTAGTAGTTACAAAGTGTGGTGAAGTATAAAGAGCACTCTGCTACCAAGTTTAAGAAACAGAATATTATCATTAACTTTAAATGCCTACCCCTCCCCAACTTAGAATGTATTCCCCTGCCTACGCTCTTCTCTTTGCCTTCAGAAGTATCATGGCTCCCAAATGGTGTTTCTGAGGGATGTGTGTATATGTGTGTGTGTGTGCCTGTGTGTGTGTGTTAGTCCACTCTGTATTGCTATAGTTTATTTTGAAAAGATGTTTATGTTGCTCATGGTTCTGCAGAGTGTACCAGAAGCATGGCAACAGCATCTGCTTCTGGTGAGGGCCTCAGGAAGTTTCAATCATGCTAGAAGGTAAAGAGAGAGCAGGTGCATCACATGGCAAGGACAGCAGCAAAAGAAAGAAAAGGGAAGTCCCAGACTTTTTAACAAACAGCTCTCATGGTAACATTACCATGGGAAGGACCCCAAGCCATGCATGAGGAATTCACCCTCATGACCCAAACACCACCCACTAGGCCCACTTCCAACATGGGGGATCACATTTCAACATGAGATTGGGAGGGGACAAACATCCAAACCATATCAGTGTGTGTGAATGTGTATTTAAATATCCATAAACAATATGTTATTTAATTTTGCATGGGTTTTATCTCTTTATATATAAATGAAATTATGAAGATTAAGAAAGGAAAGGCAAATAAAAGAAAAATGAAAGGAGAGGAAAGAAAAGAAAAGAAAGGAGGGAGGAAGACAGAGAACAAAAGAGGATATCTGATATGTTCCAATGTATCAAGGGGAGATTTATACTTATAAAGAAGGATTGGGGAATAATTTGATTACAGAAAACAAGAAAAAATGGAGCAATTATTAACTTTAGGGAAATCAATAGGCTTATAGGCAAGGAAACATAATCATAATATAACATTTGACACAGCTTAGGCATGAAGTACATTATGATAATATTTGTGAAATCATGATAAGGCAAACATTGATCAAACTGAAAATTATCACACAGCTGGGAGTTGGAGAGGGGTGTAGGTATTGCGGGTGGACCAAGGGCACATATAAAAGGATAAATCCTCATCTGCCATAGAGAATGGCAATATGTCTGACATAAAGAATCAAAAAGTAACTGTCTGAAGGTAAATTCCAAACAAAATAGCTAAGAAAGTTAAAAATGGTTGCATCTGGAGGTAAGAGTAAGTAGGGTTAGATAGGAATTTTTGTAAGAAAGGGGAAAAGGGTATTGTTGCTTTTTAAAAATGCTGTAGGATTATCTGAATTTTAAAAGCATGTACATTTATAACTTTTATAATTTAGTTTCTCTTTAATATATATAATACTAAATTTGAAAAGAAAATTAAAGCATGTGTGTATGCGTATACACATATATCATAATCTATGGATTTTAAAAAATATTTGAATAGACCAAATAACTGTATATTTCATATTAAACTTCTAATTACTGAATAATTAAGATGAGCTTTAGAGTTGTTTAGTGAAGGCTTTGGGCTGTTTTCAGAATACATAATTTAGAGTGAGCTACATGCTTTTCAACTTGCTCCAGAAGACCAGAATCTGACCAGGTAAGATGAATGGCTACAACTCCTGTAGTCTCAAGTACTTCAAAGTGTGCTAGCCAGGTGCAGTGGATCATGCCTGTACCAGCACTTTGAGGGGCCAAGGCAGGCAGATCAACTGAGGTCAGGAGTTTGAGATCAGCCTGGCCAACCTGGTAAAACCCTCTCTCTACTAAAAATACAAAAATTAGCTGGGTGTGTTGGCGTGCTGCTGTAATCCCAGCTACTTGGGAGAGTGAGGCAGGAGAATTTCTTGAACTCAGAAGGTGGAGGTTGCAGTGAGCTGAGATTGTGCCACTATACTCCAGCCTGGGTAACATAGTGAGACTCCATCTCAAAAAAAAAAAAAAAAAAAGTGTGCCATCTCCTGGATAACAGAAAAGAGTTTTCATGGAGGTAAGCTCCATTCAGACTGCTCAGAAATCCCAGTAGACACTTCTTACCCTTAGCCCACCACAGTAGGATCCTTACTTAATTCTCTCTTTAGTCTCTTTTCTACACACACACAAACATACAATAGAAAATTCAATCAGCTGTGACTTGAAATTATCCACACTCAAATCACTGAGACCCACTCAGCCTGAGTGTCTTTGTCTCTCAAAGAAAGGAATAGAAAAAAAAAAGGAGGGGGAGTGAGTAGAATATATGCCAGTGAAACAAATGCAAAGGCTCCCAAATAATCTCCCTACATGCTTGTTTCCCTGCTCTCCTATGTCTAATTGGAAGCTGTGAATATCCACCACCCCACTGTTTCTCAGAAGTCTCATTAGAAGCCAACGTGGTTCTGAATTAGAATAAGTGCAACATCTGCCAATGACGTCTGTTTTGCAGGTGCCACTGCCAAGTGCCAATGCTATACAATATTTGTTCACCACTGCCCACATGGGACCAAACCCACACTTAATAAGACAGAGACTGCATTGTCATGACATATGCGCAATAATATTCCCTGCATTTAAGCCCCAGAAGCATGGTTATTTAGCTAACGTAGACTTCTGCTATAATCATAGCAGTTTTTCTTCCAGCAGTAAAAGTCTCACCAACTACAGTTCGGCATTTTCTGCTTTCCAATTACTCGCTGATGCTATGCCAAGTACAGAGTAATATTTTCATATATCACTAAACAAATGCAGTTGTGCTCCCCAAACAGGTTTCAGTTTGGGCTAAACTATATCCATTAAAGCTTTCATAAATGGAACACCCTTCAGCTTGTAGTTTCTTTTTACTCATAACTATTTAAACTGCACAGATAATACCTCAACTTCCCAGCAAGTGCTGCATTAGCTGGGCAATCTTTAAAGCATAAAACTTTGTAGCAAGAGAAAACTAGGAAGAGAGAAATAAGTTGTACTACTAGCAAAAAGCAGACCAGATTCATATTTCCTTATTTCTAAGAAATAGTCTTTCTCTTTTACATATATAATACACATATATATGTAACCTTCTGAGATATTTGTATATCAATGATAGTATTTTAAGTGTACAAGGCACTACAGATTTATATTGAAAGAAAAATAATCTTATTTCCAAAGACTTGATTTTTTTTAAGTGGAAAAAATTAAACCTGAGACTAGGGGTATGAATGTAGTGATTGTCAGACTGAAGTGAAAGGGTAAATCTAATGCTATATTTTTATCAAAGAAAGTTTGAGGTGATTCAAGGACTGTTTTACACAGTGGGTAAACTTTTTTGGTTGACTTAGGGAGCGTTTGGTTGGTAAGAACCAAAACCCATCCCGGCTCACATAAGTGAAGGGAGCTTTATGTTAAGAATGCAAGGATAGCCTGCAGAATCTAACTGCAGAATTCATGGACCAGCAACTATCTTTTCTTTCCTCTGGGCAAGAGCCTTAAGGTGGCTGGACTCCACTTACTCCCTCTCTCTCCCTCTCTTTGCTCTTTTCCATTCTCTCTAGGAGACCTTCTATAAGGTGCTTAGTTAGAGTTTTCTCATAGTTTCAGTATCCCAAAGGTTTAGAGTCAGCACTGGGACCAACTCCCACCAAAACTTTATATAATCCTATAATTTGTGGGACATCATCAGAAAAATACATCATGTAACTCAATTCAAATTCTTGAGAGGAAGAATTTCTTAGTCTTAGTCAGACTGGGTTAGGTGCACAATCCAGTCCAGTTGGTTGAAACAAACACAGATTTCTAGGTTCACTTTCATCAGAGACTGAAAATTTAAAGGAGGAGAAAGATATTCAGCGTGTGTCTACTAAACAGTCCTCAAGAAAACCTAAATGGAGGTTGAGATTTTCAATGCAAAATGGGACTTCTTCCAAAACAATTATGTATTTCACATTGAAATTTACATTGCATTCACATATTATCATATATGTTCTTTATGACATCCTAATGATATATTGAAGGAAGATGATACCAACCCCATTTAAAAAAGTAGAATAGTAAATATCAGAAAGGTGGAAAAGGATGGCTTTTAGGTGAGTAATTTGGACACAACCTCTTGGGGCACTTCCAATTGTACCATACCTTTCAAACAGTTTAGCAACCTTAACCCAGGCTCTTAAAATTTAAAAACAGCTGTATTGATGTGGGTGTTATTGACAAAGAAAGAAGTAGCCCCAGCTGTTTATCCCCTCATTCTTCCATACTAGTCTACCCAAATAATTCTTTCAAAAATTAGCTGTTTACCCATTAATTTGAATGTGGCTTAAGGTTAGCATGACCACATAATTATATATTAAACTAGTAACATTGTAAAATAAAAGGGACACTATTACTACAGGATAACAGTCATAAACCTGGATTATCTTGTATTAACCAGGCTGCATGGCTCCTTCTGGAATAGAATTCAAATTTATGGATCCAATCTTTCCTGTCCTGGGACAACTGAAACACTGTAGTAAATTTGGATTTCAGGGGTTGAAACAGGGTGAGTATTATTACGATAGGAAATACCTTGATTTGTGTCTAGGCCCAGAATTTTTAGTGCTTTCCACCTATGTCTTGTATGCTAAAGACAAGTCTGGTTCTTTGTACCAACAGTGATGAGAAACAAGAGCTCATTATCTTAGAGATACTTGATAGTAAGAGTTCTCTAGTAAATGTAAAAGCCCTTTATTAGAAATATGTTTTACAAGTATTTTCTCCCAAACTGTGGCTTGCTTTTTGCAATTTATTAATAGTGGCTTTTGAAGAGAAAAGTTTGAAATTTTTATCGGTTCAAAGTGTCAGTTTTTATTTTATATTCCATTTTTTGTTTTATCTAATAAATCTTTGCTTAACACAAGTCCAAAAAGATTTTTCTCATACTTTATTCCAAAAGTTTATAGTTTTAGATTTTACAGATATGTTCATGATCCACTTTAATTTTTGTACATGCCGTGAGACAAGGGCTGTTGCTCAGTTTTATTATTTATTAATTTGCATGTAGATATCCACCTGCTCCACCCTAATAGGTTGAAAAAATACCATATGCTGCTTATCCATTCATCACTTGATGGATATTAGGGTTGTTTCCACCTTTTATCTATTATGAATAATGTTGTTGTAAACATTTGTGTACAACTTTTTGTGGAGATCTAGGTTTTTACTTACCTTGTATGGCACTTAAGTGTGGAATTGCTCGGTCACATGGCAACTGTGTTTAAGTTCTTGAGAAATTGTTGTGTGTGGTTTTGTTTATTTATTTATTTTGGTCAAACTGCTGTACCATTTATATTACCACCAGTCCATGAGGGTGCCATTTCTCTACATCCCTGCCAACACTTGTTATTGTCTGTCTTTTTGATTATAGTTATCCTAGTAAATGTGAAGCAGCAGGCATCTCATTGTTGTGGTTGCGATTTGTATTTCCCTAGTGACTAATTATATTGAATATATTATCGTGCTTATTAGCCACTTGCATATATTCTTTGGAGAAATATCTATTCAAACCTCTTGACCATTTTTAGTTGGGGCATTTGTCTTTTTATTATCAAGTTGTAAAATTTCTTTATATATTTTGGATTCTAAACCCTTATCAGATAGATGACTTGCAAATATTTCCTCCCTTAGTGTGGGTTTTCTTTCACTTTTTAATAGTGTCTTTTGATGCACAAAAGTTTCTAATTTTGATGAAGTCCAACTTACCGATTTTTTTTGGTTGTTTGTGGTTTAGTTTTATATCTAAGAAACTATAGCCTAATCCAAAGTCACAAAGACTGGATAATCTCAATTCCTCTAGCTTCAAGTTTACTAGCTTTTCCAGTAAATGTTTTATTTCAATTATTATACTTTTCAGCTTCAGAATATCTATTTGGTTCTATTTTATAATTTCTATCTCTTTATTGACATTCTTTTTTTGGTGAGACATCATTCTAATACTTTCCTTTAGTTGTTAGACATGTTCCTATAGTTCCTAAAAAAATCACTGATTTAGGTCCTTGTCTAATAAATACAATATCTGGATGGATTTTGCAGGGACAGTTGGTTGTTTTTTCATGTATGGATCATGAATTATTGTTTCTTTGCATGTCTACCAACATGTTGTTGAAAACTGGACATTTGAAGTAATATAGTGTGAAAACTTTTTGGAAATCAGACATTTTACCCTCATCATGGATATCATTTTTGTTGTTTGTTGTTATTGTTTGGTTAGTGACTTCTTTGAACTAATTCTATGAAATCTGAATTCTTCGTTACATTTGACCAGTGAAATCTCTGTTTAATTACCTTAGTGGTCAGCTAATGGCTGGACAGAGATTTCCTTAAAAAGCTGGAACCAACAGCCTCTCAGTCTTTGCTAAGGGACTCTGTATGTGTTCTGAAGCATGCCTTCAACATTTGTCCAGACAGTTTAAAGCACTGCCTTAGCTTTCATTTCTTTCTTGCACAGAGTCTCAAGATTAGCCAGAGGTGAGAGCTTAGTGCCTTCTCAGGTCTTTCCTGAGCATGCAGACTTCACTTGCTATATGTGTGTGGCTTTGTACATTCTCAGGAATATACCATAACCTTTCAATGTTCCTTGCAGACATCTCATTCCATAGCTTTTCCCTTTAAGTTTTTTGGCTAGCTTATTATTTGTATCAACTGCTATCTACCTCCTTAATATTCAACAACTGCCTCTGATTGTTTTTGACAAAGGTTTTTGGGAAAAGTCTATTCGGACAAACTAAGTTAATGGTTCTACTCTACATAGATGATTATATTTTCTGCATGTACAAACTGTTTTATTACCTTTTCAATCTGTATATCTTATTGCACTGGGTAGAACTTCAACTACAGTGTCAAATAGAAGTGATGAGAAAAGTATTCTTTACTTTTTTCCTGATCTTATGGGGAAGAAACTCCATTTTGCATCAAAAAATTTGATGTTATCTGTGGAATTTTTAAAGATATCCTTTATTTAATTGAAGTTCCCTTCAATATCCATTTTGCTGAGAAATTTTTATGAAACAGTGTTGAATTTTCTCAAATGCGTGTTTGTATGTATCGAATAAATCATGATTTTTATATTTTGGAAACTATTTAGAAATATGTTAAATTGATTGATTTTCATATGTTAAACTATCCTTTCATTCTTGGGCTAAACTTTATATAGATGTAGGCTATATACAAATTAAGAATTTTCTTGTCCATGTTTGTGAAGGATATTTCTTTGTATTTTGGGGGTTTTTACTTTATTTTTATGAGATCTTTTTGCCTTTTATTTCAGTATCAGAGTAGTGAAGGTCTTATAAGTTGGAAGGTGTTTCTGGTTTTTTATTTTTTTAGAATTTTTATAGGATTTCTATTCTTTTTTAAATATTAGAATTTAACGGTGATGCCATCTGAACCTGGAGCCTATTATTTAAGGGAAGGTTTTTAACTATGAATTTGATGTCTCTAATAGAGATAGAGCTCTTTTGGGCACTTACTTTTCTTTAACTCAGCTTTGGTACTTAGTCACTTCAAAGGACTGTGTCTATTTTATTTAGATTGTTGAAATTCTGATCATGAAGTTCCTTAAATTATGGAGTACTCCAAAGAGATTTTTTCTTCTGTGGATTATCCATTCTTTTGCCAAGAGCAATGATGTGATCTCAAAGACTTCTTTGTAAAGGATCTCTGGGACTTCCAGGGTTTACCAAACCATTATTTGAGTGCCAATAATACAATCTTTTCTAGTAATCGTCATCATTATTTACTAAGTTGCTTAGACAAGAAACATTGGAGAAATCCTACCTTCATTTGATTCTCCTCAAAACCCACATCCAATTCATCAATAATAAATCGCTGAAATACAGGTATAAAAGCATTCAGTTGGTTTAGTTGGCCTTCAGTTCAAAGTGAGTTAGTTGTAATATGCTTACCATATTCTCACCTCTGACCACTACTATTTTTTCCATCTATTATAAGTATATTCATAGTTTTAAAAGGTTTTTCTTATCTCCATCTATTCATTATTTTTCCAATATTTTTTCAGAAAATAATGATCATCTCCAGGAAGGCTACTGTATGCCAACACCACCACCTGCTCTGTTAGCTTTTTCTCCCTCAACTAGTTATCATACTTCCTTCCCACTTGATCCATACCCTCACTGGATTCTACCTCAAATTCCATAGACAGAGTTTGTGGTTTTTGATCATCCTAGCATATGATAACAGGTTTTTCCTAAGTGAATTTTCACTCCAAATTCTTCAGTTCTGGGCTTCCTTAAAAAGGATACTTTATCTTTGGTTTCAGCCTCTGAAAATCTAGCCTCTAGCATTGACAAGCAGGTGTTTGCCAAATTATACCTCCGTGACTGAGGGTGGGTTCACACATCTTCATCTTCGGTCCCTTTAACTTCATTCTCTTCATCTTCTCATTAACATATATGCTAAAAATAGCATTTTTATTCTGTCATCCTTCTGTACTTTCTTTGCCCTTTATTTTGCTCTTAGTATAAACTGACAAAATACCACTTATGAAAGTAATAAAGTTGGATATTTTGGGAAAGAGCTTAACATTCTCTGTTACAATGTAATGTGTATAGATAGCCAACAGATTTTAAATACTATCCAAGGTCTGCCAGCAACATATGGTTTTCTTTAGATACAGTGTTCATATGGAAGTAGAATTTTGCACATCTTTTACAAATCCATCCCCAAATTTCAAATAGCATTTTATTAATTGTACACTGAAACTAAATAACATATTTGGTACGACTCCAGGGATCCATTAAATTGAAAGGATCTCATCATAACATCACTACAAATGACTCAAAGTCAAAAGGTTATTTCTTAAAAATAACATTTATAATGTTCTTCCCTAATGTAGAAGTAGTTGGAAAATTTAGACATGCAGTGTAGAAATAAAAAAAATAACAATCTGCAAAATACTGTACACTTTAGGTAATAAGACCTTTTTCAGATTATACCATGCATCCAATATGGCTATGAGAATCAAGAGTGGGACCGGTATGTATCAATCTTAGGCAGCATCACAGGGGAAAAAATTGTCATATTTATTGGTTCTACAACAACAGGGCTGGGAGTTTTGATTCTGTGAGGATTCTAATATTTTACTTGTTGATATTAATAAAGCTATTCTGATAATATATATGATTATCTTATCATAAAAATTAAGCATACTTTATTTATTTGACATACTGGACTAGATAATGAGAATTCCTTTATTTCTCTCCATTAACTGCCACCCAGATTCTATTTATTTGCTCTCTCAACCACTCAGTTTTTTAATGCCTTATTTTCTAGAATCTAGTGTTGTATGAAATGAGAGTAATAATATTTGTTAGCTAGAGGGTTATAAAGAATAACATGAATGTTTATTATGCACTTTGAAATCATATGAGTGATTTTTTTTACATTGTAAGCATTGGTATTTCTCAGATAAAAATTATCTTCATGAGTGGTATTATTTTCAGATTCCTGTGTATAAAAGCATATATGTGATTCTGATTTAAATTCATGTAATTCATAGTTAATGAATTATAAATAGATTAATGTATATTTCTAAAACTTATACACAGCATCAAAAGGAAGTAGTTCTTGCCGGGTACAGTGGCTCACACCTGTAATCCCAGTACTTTGGGAGGCCGAGGCAGGTGGATCACTGAACGTCAGGAGTTTGAGACTAGCCTGGCCAACACAGCAAAACCCTGTTTCTACTAAAAATACAAAAATCAGCCAGACATGGTAGTGCATGCCTGTAGTACAAGCTACTCGAGGTGGCAGAATCGTTTGAACTCGGGAGGTGGAGGTTGCAGTAAGCCGAGATCATGCCACTCCAGCATGGGCAACAGAACAAGACTCCATCTCAAAAAAAAAAAAAAAAAAAAAAAGGAAGTCCTTCTAAGGACCCGGCTCCTTTAGGAAAAACAAGAGCCTCACTGAGACACAACATGTGAAGACCTGATATGACTTGTGTTTAAAACTATAACATAAGTCTATGTTCTTTTGCCCTTTACAATTATCTTAGTCTATTTGGTCTACTGTGGCAAATTATTATAGATGGGGTGGCTTAAACAACAAATTATTTCTCACACTTCTGAAGGCTGAAAGTCTGAGATGGGGGTGCCTGCATTGTGGAGTTCTTGGTGAAGGCTTTCCTCCTGGTTGTGCTGTTATGTAGCCTTTCCTTGGTGCGTACAGAGAAATATCTCCTCTTCCTTTTTTAAAATCAGAGCATTAATCCCTTCATGAGTGCTCTACCCTCCTGAGCTTATCTAACCCTAATTACCTTCCAAAGACTACACCTCCAAATGCCATCACATTACGGATTATGGTTCCAATATATCAGTTTTGGAGGAACACAAATATTCAGTCCCTAACAACAATAAATACAGCATCTGTCTTAGTCTATATTGTGCTGCTAAAACAGAATACCTGTGACTGAGTAATTTATCACTTAAAAAAATTATTTCCTACGGTTATGGAGGCTGGGAAGTCCAAGACTGAGGGGACCACATTTGGTGAGGGACTTCATGCTGTGTCATCACATGGATGGCAGAAGATGGAAAGGAAAAAGAAGATGAGAGGGAGAGAGAAAGGGGGGCTTAATTTGCTTGTATAACAAACCCACTCTCACATAAAATAACCCATTCCCTCGCTGAGCACATTAATTCACTCATGAAGGCAGGGTCCTCATGACCTAATCACCTCTCAGAGGTACCACCTCTCAACACTGTTTCACTGGGGATTAAGTTTTCAACATACAAACTCAAGGGAACATGTACCAACCATAGCAGTATCCAAATTATTATAATAAAATTCACATCGTTATGCTGATAACCCCCAATAACTGCTATGTGTTTCCTCATATTAAAAATGATTAATTTATGATAGTATCAGAATACCTCATTATAACTCAAATTCAATATAAAATTAAGTTTTGTTATGTTAATCTCCCAGATTAGCTTTTACCTCCTCTGAATTGTCTATAAAGAACCAATTAAGATAATCAAAACTAAGTTTAGTGGGAACATTACATTTAAATGAACGATAGTTGGATTTCATCTGTAAACTCAAAATGGTCCTCCATTAAAAACATATCTAGACCATAATGTAGATAGCCCTATAACAATTTTACATAACTTAAAGCTACTCTTGTGATCATTTAATCCATTACTGATAGTACCAACAAAAACCAGCCAAATACAGAGTCCCCCACCTCCAACAACCTCAGGGCTCCAGGTTATTTCTTCCCAAAACACAGATGAGAGGTCATGATTTTACAGTCCCTGCTATTTCTCTGAAATTTTTAATAATAACATTTAATATTTCTTGGGCTCTTGCTATATATGCTAAGCCCTTTCCACATATTATTTGTAATAGACTTGGTAGCCATAATCCAGGAAGAGATGTCGTTATTATCCCCTATTTATAGATGTGGTTTAGAGGAATAAAGTCAATTGCCTAAGAGCAAACACATGAATCTCTAACATGGGCCTTAACAGCTACAGCACAGAGCATGTTAGTATGGAGCTTATGTATGATGAGAGTTTAATAAGAATTTCAATATTAACTAAGATTCTTTTATTTTCAAAGACTTAGAATACTCAGATTTATGGGTTTACACAATTACATATAATTTTGTGGTATATTAAGTAATACAAATAGACTAACATAAGGTCTATATAGAGTAAAGAATGAATAAGTGAGTGAATGCATGGATGGTGAAATCATATTCAGTAGCAGTTCCTATTTTTCTGAATGAAGATAAGTTAGAGGATTCAAAATACAGTAAGCCTTAAAGAAAAATGCGGAGACAAAAAGCTCTTTAAAATTTAAAGAAACATAACTCTTTGCTATATAAACTAATCAATCACTAGATATTTCACAAGTAAACTTGTAATATTTAGACATCAGCATTTGATTAATCTAGCTTGTAATTTGTGTTAATATAACTTCTCCGAAAAGAAAATTCTTCCCTGTACAATTAAAGTTGTTATTCCTTTAATTAAGCTTTATACTGAAATTGGTGAAAGTAAAAGAGAAAGCTTAATATGGATAACTGAGTTTTTCAATATGTATATAAGTCATTATAGATGGAAAATATACAGTTAAAATAATTTGTTCAAACGTTTTCTTTCAAATGTAGATATGATGTCCTGAACAAAAGTGGTTTTATTTCATCAGTAAATAAAGCATTATATAAGCTTTTTGTTTGTCTGTGTAGGAAAATCTCTCGTGTTTTTCTAAATATAATTTTTAAAAACTTTATAGCAACTCACAGACTTCTCTATGAAAACTGATTCTTTAAACATTTTTGGAGAAATACTACCTGATTTTCTTTAGGTAAAATAATTGATTAAAAAATTAAATTCACTACATTACACCTAGGAGTATGGCTAAACACTGGTGTAATTTATACCCCATTTAAGTGTAAGAAGATAAATGAAGTTCAGTGAAATATCTTTGGTTAACTGCCTTTGCCTCAGTTAAAGGGAACTTTTCGTAAAAGTGTAAAATAAAACCAGAAAAAGCACATGGTTTAAGGGCAGGGGTGGGTAGTAACAGAGCAATCTGTCAGCCCGCAAAGATGTGTATTCCCTCCGCGGCACGGCTTTGGTGGAGGTGCGTGGTGGCACTGAAGTGGTGTTAGTTCCAAATCAAACCCATGTGTGCAGGCACTGATTGTTTGACTTTTCCGAACTGTTAACAGTCACTTTTTATATTGCTTATAAAAATGGTATTTAACATATTTATTCTACCAGTCATTCTCAAGGTTGACTGACAAAGATTGTAGAAAATTTATTTACCTTAAATCTATATTTCCTAACTCAGGATGTGGTCAGAATTTTAAAGATGCTATAGAGCTTGCAAACAGGCGTCTTATTATTCCTTAGGGCCTACTTGTGGGAAATATGTCTAAATTCTAAAACGAAATGGCACATTTATAAATCACTAAGCAGCATTGTGGGAGCTTGCGATTTTTTCCTTTTGAAAAGAGTCAGGTTTACTTGCAAGACAAGAAGGTGAGTATATCTTCATTATTCCCATGGCAATCAAAGTGTGGTGGCTGAGAGCTCCAACTCTGATCCAGCCGGGGTTCATGTACCACTCTGCTGATGACTGAGGGTGTTAACTTAGGGAGGCCTCTTCAATTCTCAGTGCCTCAGTTTCCTCACCTGTAGTACCAATTTAAATAATGTTTATCTGAAAGGGCTTGTCGTGAAGACTGATTTCATACATATAAAGTGTTTTGACTGGAACCTAACATATATTAAACACTATATAAGTTTAAGTTGTTGTTAAGCAAACTGGCATCTCTCCTCATTTTTTAATGCCTTCTGACAGGGACAGACAGAAAAGAAGTGAATATTCTACCATGGGAGCTGTATGTGTAAGAATGCAGTCTTCAGGATAATATCATGAGGAATTGCAATACTTACCTCTGCTTTACAGGTGAAGAGCTTGCCTGGGTTTGAATCATAGTTTGCCACTTAAAAGCAGTAACATCTTGAGAAAGTTACTTTACCACTTTGTATCTCAGTTTCCTCATTGGTAAAGTAAGAATAATACCTGCTTCTCAAGATCATTGCAAGAATTAAATGGATTAACACCTATAAGGAGTGTGGGATATTATCTGACAGATGCAGAGTAAATATTCTATAAATGTTAGCTGTTTTTATTCAGACAAAGAGAATGAAAGAGATGATTTGGATGGCACTAAGTAGGAAGGAGTAGAAGGAAGGAATTAGTAATAGGATAAAATAATCAACAATAAGCAGAAAGGCACAGGATTTTACATAATGGCAGAAAGTAGGATGAGATTAAGTGACAGTGGTCAGGAGCTTCAATTATAAAAATATTAATTATTAATAGTCTTAATATTGACTGGCAAACTTGTAAGATTTTATTTTTTTCTTGAACATATCTCTAGATTTAAACTCTTAATAAAGCTTAGGTTATTCTCTTAACTTTTCCAAAATTAATTTTTAACCATGGTTTATATTTTTGTCACCACATACTCATATGGCTACAGATTATTTCTAAGATGTCGTAAATCCTTTGGTATCTTAGAGATCTCTAATACTTGAAAGAAGAGAAAAGATTTGAGGTACATAGTAAGACTGAAGTATGTAAGAAAGTGAAACAGATTAGTCTGCTCTTTAACAGCATAAGCCACAGAATAATAATGTTCTCTCGGTGCTGTTACTGAGATATGAAAGGGCTACTCAAACATAGTTCAAATATGAATTAAAGTCCTACCTAGCTCCATCACACACACACACACACACACACACACTCGCACAAATGAATGCCTTCCTATTTAGAGATTAATCAAATCAAGTAATCAAATCAACCATATTGTATGTTTTAGTTTTAGAAATATACTGAAATTTTGAAAGGTGGGGAAAAAAGTGAATGAGAATTACTCAACATGACAATTTACAACAAATTATCTATGAAGAGAAATGATATTATCAGGTGACCACAGGTAAAGTGTCTCCTAAAATATTTTATTACAGCCCCCAAACCACCACCTGGTATTTATGGAAGCAATATCTCTTTCAGAATTATTTTAAAGTTAATTATAATCACATAATCAAGTAATTAACTACTTCATTTAGATCATTGCTACTCAAAGTATGGTTGCTAGATCAGTATTATTGACATCACATAGAAGCTTGTTAAAATCTGGAATCTCAGGCTCCACCCTAGACTTACTGAATCAGAATTTACAGTCTGATTAAATCCACAGGTGATTTTTATGCACACTTAAGTATGAGGGCACTAATACAGGGCAATGTTTCTCAGTATGGGCTTCACATTAAATCTATCTAAAATATATATAAAAATATTAATGTCGGGATTTACCCATAGTGATTTCTTTTTCTTTTTTTTTTCCGGAGACAGAGTCTCACTCTGTCACCCAGGCTGGAATGCAGTGGCGAGATCTCAGGTCACTGCAGCTTCCGCCTCCCAGGTTTAAGCTATTCTTGTGCCTCAGCCTCCTGTGTAGTTGGGATTACAGACGTGCACCATCACACATGGCTCTTTTTTGTGGTTTTAAGAGAGATGAGGTCTTGCCAAGTTGGCCAGGCTGGTTTTGAACTCAGCCTCATGTGATCTGCATGCCTCGGCCTCCCAAAGTGTGGGGATTACAGGCGTAAGCCCCCACGCCAGGCCTATTTAATTAATTTTGAATGGAACACAGCAACAGTATTTTTTTAGTTTCTCAGGTGATTCTCTTGTTCAGCCACCACTGAAATCCAGATCGGGAACACCGAGCAACACTTAGTGCATAAATATGAATACACATGGTTCAAGGTGAGTTCCCATGAGTCAATGATCAAAGCAGATAAAGACAGAATTTGGAGATATTTAAGCATTCTAGGGAGAGAGAACATGTAATTACTTTGGTCTGAAATAAGAAAAAAATTGAACAAGATACTATAAGATTCAAAGGAAATGAATATCACAAAGCTAAAAATGGTTGGTCAAAAACAAACAAAAAAAATATTCAGGAACCAAAATATGAGACATACATTCTCTAATTAATTTTCAGTCTCAACACAGCATTTTAATTAGTTTATTGTGAATGCATATTTGCTTGTCTTCTAGTTCCTGCATGTAGAATGATCAGTTCTAGCTGTAATCATCTTGGAATTCATAGATATAGACATAGAAGTAATTGTATCCATTTGGAACAGAGACAGGCAGGACAGAAACACCAAGCAAACTTGCTTCATGTCTTCCCTCATTTTATTAACTGGCTGTAACATGGATGTTTTGCCTTCTGAGGTTGTTAAAGGGCACTATGATGTTCATCACTGTAATACTACACATTACATATACATGTTAAATAATGTATCAATGGTGAAAATGAATGTTTTAGATAAATATTGCCCATTTGGCTAGATAGATGTAATTTTATGAATTTCAGAAAGCTTAGGTAATGACTTGCAGATGTGTGCAAGGAGAGAAATGGCTTCAGTATTACTCTTATCATTGATCCCTTTACTGAAACCTTTTCTAAATTTGCACTTAGTCACATATTTCCAAAGTGATAATTAAAAGTAAATAAAAATGAACTGTTACATAACCCAATGCAAGCTGAAGTATCTGCATTGTTTATAAATGAATTCCTAGCAAAGTGACAGGTGATTAACACTTCATAGGCTTTTCTTTAAAAAATCAAATTTCCTTTTATGTTTTGTTCTTATGCCAATGAAAATTTACAGTGGAGCTCAGTGGGCTGGGCGCGGTGGCTTAAGCCTGTAATCTCAACACTTTGGGAGGCCATGGCAGGCGGATCTCCTGAGGTTGGGAGTTCGAGACCACCTTGACCAAAATGGAGAGACTCCGGTCTCCACTAAAAATACAAAAATTAGCCGGGTGTGGTGGTGCAGGCCTGTAATCCCAGCTACTTGACAGGCTGAGGCAAGAGAATCGCTTGCACCCAGGAGTCAGAGGTTGCGGTGAGCCGAGATCACACCATTGCACTCCAGCCTGGGCAACAAGAGTGAAACTCCGTCTCAAAAACAACAAAAAGCAATGGAGCTTAGTGTATTCATGGGGACGACATATATAAAGAAAGAAAGATTAGGAGTGGTGAGAAGCTTTCTTTTGTAAATGAAAGCCTGTGATATTTATAAAATAATTTATTTTAAAAAAAAAATGTTTGGATGCTGCTCAATTTGTTTTTGTCTAAGATATAATGTGATAGACCTTTCTAATAATTTCCATTTGAGGTAAAAACCATTAATACAGGTCAACATTGTGTCTGATATAGCCTCAGGGACAAGTCTGGTGAGGTTAGGATTATAACACATCTAAATATTAAAGAAAATCTTGAAATATTAAAGATTTCTTAGGTAATTCATTCTGAATGAGTTACTGAAAAATATCTCTTTTTTTTTGTTCTGGAAGCTGGTTTAATATTTACTGGTAAGTTAAAGTTAACATTTCTATAAAGCTCAGAAAACTTTTAAATTTATCTTTTCAAATTATTTTAATAATTACTATATTAGCAGAAATAAGAATGTTTGTAAATTACTTATGTAGTGTTTGAAATCCTTAGTAAAATTCCTAAAAATCTTCAGCAAAATTCCCATAAGCAATTATAGTTAGACTTCCCTTTGGAAATTTAATCCTCTGTGATCATTTTACAGAATAGAGAATTTCTAATTTTTAGGTCCTACTTAATCATAAATGTCTAATTTGGGAAAGTATATGTGCTTGTAAAAAAGTAAGATATAATTTCTCATTTTTAAATTCTTCTCCACAATCAAACCCATAGTCTCTCTGCCTCATTTGGGATGAGAATAAAACCCTTTCCTCCTTGCTTTCCCGTTCTCTCCTTCCTTCCTCTTATACGTTAAAGCTTTCAGTGAAATTTACTTTAAAATTCACTATGCTTTTAGAGCTTTTCCTGTAGCATGTTTATACCAAGATATTTCTCCTTTTTTATTTTAACTCACAACATCAGCTTTTTCTTTCTCCTTTGACGGCAAGCCACAAATGAAATTAGGATGGGGAGGTTATCCTTTAAAGTAAGATTGGAATTTCATAGTCTGTTCATTTGGTCATACAACTAACACCTCTGAGACTTTTTGGTTACCTTCAGAAGAATAATTTGGATCTTGAATATAAATGTTCTGACCACCTAAGTAAACAGTGTAATTGCCGTGGGTTGTATAACACTCTGCTTTTCTAATGAAACACGTCTTAATTTATATCAGAACCTGGATGGCTAGTTGCCCTCACTTGTTCAATAAACTTTTTAACTTGAGTAATTCTGTAGATGTAAGAGTAGATTCAATAGAAAACAAACAAAATAAAAGCAAAACAATAACAAGATTGATAATAGAGAAATATAACCAAAGTCCTAGAAAAAAATAAAAAGAATATAAGCAATATCATAAGCAAAGATGACTTAGTTAAAACCAACTAACCAAGCAACAAATAAAGAGGATTTCATGTGAGTTAATAGAATGGGAAAATAGAGGAAAAATTGAGTTGATGAGATAAGGATATTGAATTACGTGAATGGGAAGGTAATTATTAGATAAAATAGCAAAAGGAAATCTACAATATATGCTGTTCCAAAAGGAGATATTGGAATTTATCTCAGTGTGGTTTTTGTCTTGAATCTGACTCCCTATTCATCAAAAACTATATCCCTTCATTTAAATGATAAATCAATTATTTTAATACTTTTTGATACAAGTGTTTGTTAATTATTTATAAATTTCTCAAAAGGTATTCCCCTTGAGCAAATTATTTCTCATGGGAAAATTCTAATAATATACTAACCACTATGCTGTGTTGTTCAAAAGCATCATGCCATTGTTCTAAAGGAAATAGCCTTCTTTTTTTCATATTTTTAATTTGGAGATTTTTGAGGTCTTAAAACAGGGTTCCAAAATTTTTGACACTCGTCCTATTCAAGAGCAGAGATAAACTATTCCTGCTAAGCCCTGTGCAAATTGCAGATTTGTGAGCAAAATGAAAGGTTGTTATTGCTTTAAGTCACAAATTTTTAAGATGGCTCACAATAGATAATTGACACAGATTGTGTTACCCGAAAGATAAGTGATTCCATAACAAAAATTAATATGTATTATTGGTTTGGGGCTGGGCAGCAGGTGAAAACTAGAAGGGCCTTGAAGAGAGTATTAATGAAAAAGCCCAAAAAGCAATGAGAAAGCTGTTAGTGAGGGTTTCAAGGAAAGTGAGGGAAATGTTATTGGGAGCAGGAGGAAAGGGGACTCTTACTATGTAGTGGTGGAAATGTTGGCAATATGTCTCCTGTAAATGTGAAAAACAGGAAATGAATTTAATGAACTTAATGATCTAGGAGAATACTGAAAATCCTACATAACAGCTTCTTGCCAGCTATGATAAAATGCAAGAGGATAGAGGGTACAAGGTGAGGGAATGCAATGTTAAGTCTAAAGGAGCCAGAACTTGCTAAACTTAAAAAAAAAAAAAACTCTTTCTTCTTCCAAATCTTTCCATACGACGAAAAATTCTTAAAATAATAAATACTCTAATGCCTAAAATCTAATTCTGGGTGAGATTATAAGATTTCTTGTTGATATTTAAGAAAGAACTGAGGTGATAATACAGAAACCCTTTCAGTCAAACAGGAAGTCCTGTACGAATCAAGAAGGCATGTCTTACAAATCTCCTTAACTAAACAGTGGGGTTTTTGAAAGTCTTAAAGCAAGTTATGTCACAGAAGCTTCACAGGGAACCTAGATAGAGAAGGACTTACCTTTATGATGTATGGTTGTGACTTCTGTGTAAAAGATAACCCTAAGTATATTCATGGAGAACCCACACAATTTTTAAGAGAATTATTTTGGTCAAAATAGCTCCAGCTTAGACAAAAATGGAAAAAAAGACTTTGGGATATCTAAGCTTTCTTGGGCAGGAAACTGGCTGTCAAGGATACAGAGGGCAGATCCGTGAGCCATGAGCATGGAAACAAGAACCACAGAGAATAATGCCCTGAGAGCAGCAGTGAGGCCTGATTATCAAAGGCCTAAGTCATCAAAATGGACCCAGTGGATTTCACAATGGACATGTACCAGTGACTGCTGTGTACCTCCTGTTATTCCCTTTTAATGAGAATGTTTATGGAAATTATCTTATGCCTGTTCCCCTGTTCTATTCTAACCCATAATCTCTCTGCCTCATTTGGGATAAGAATAAAACCCTTTCCACCCTGCTTTCCCATTCTCTCCTTCCTTCCTCTTATACTTTAAAACTTTCAGTGAAATTTACTTTAAAATTCACTATGCTTTTAGAGCTTTTCCTCTAGCATGTTTATACCAAGATATTTCTCCTTTTTTGTTTAAACTCACAAAATCAGCCATTTTTTCTCCTTCATGTGTGTTGGGGAGAAGATAACTTGTTTCTTTAGTTCCCAGATCTTTAGATTAGGAGAACCATACTCAACGGGCTGTCCCGTAGGAGCCAAATTCCAAGAGCTTCACCTGCACATGGATCTGATTTAGGTGATGAAACCCTGGACTTTGAACTTGAAACCAATTTCATAATGAGATAGGATGTTTTAGGAGTTTGAAAAAGGTTAAATGTATTTTACATGTGAAGAGAATGTAAATAACTTGTGGCAAGATGTCATACCGTGGCAGTTTAAGAATATGAGCCCCGAATGCTTTGCCATTCCTCCCATTGAATACTAGGGTTTATGTTCTTCCCCATAAACCCAGGTTCTGTGACAGGTTGACCAGCAGTATATGGCTAAAATGATTCTGTGCCATTTTCTGGGGCCAGGGCTTAAAAAGTGGAGGCTTCCACTTCCTGTGTCTTGTGGTATTGCTTCTGGGAACGAACCACCATAGTGTGAGTAGAGAAAATGGAGGCACCCCATGGAGAGACCCATGAAAGAGAAAAACCAAGCCCTCAGCCATTAGTCAACACTATTTTGGAAGCCTTGTGAGACAGCCACCTAGCACGTAAATCCTCCAGTCTGTTGTATGTAACTAAGCTTTGCTGCAATCGATAACTGATACATATTTACTGTTGCACACCAAAATGATCCTGCACAAATTATTTGCCTCTCAAAGAGTTTTCTCAGCTGTAACATAGAGATAATCATGGTTTCTACCTGATAGTAAGGATCAAATGAGGGAGAGATTTGAAATGTCTAGCAAAGTGTTTAGGACATATTAAACTTTGAATAAGTGCTATCTATAATGATGTTCAAGGTGATTTAATTTTTGTTATTTTTTAAATAAATATGAGGAACTATCCTTATTTCGATTTCTCAAAATATTAGATTCTGTTTTAAAGGAAAGCTTGAAGTCACCTGGAGAGACCTTGGGCTCCTGTAACCACATGACTCCAGTGCATGTATATTTTCAAGTAAAAATGAAAATAAATTTGAGTCCTTATGTTGTTTTATACATTTTTGCCATGTGAGATTTAGCCGCATGCATTTTACTTTTTATATTTTCATGTATAGTTTCTGGGTTTTCCTGTTTGGAAATATTAGACCTTATTTTTCCCACTATTTCTATTCTTATTCTCCTTCATTCCTATTCAGGCATCTGTGTTAGGCAGATAACTCTCCATATGTACTGGGTACAAATTGCTCTTCATCAGGAAGTGCCACTTCACAAATTTAGAAAGAGAGGCATAGAGTCATTACAAAGGCTATTAAATAAAATAAAGTAGCTTGTTCAGAAACAAATAGATATTAACATCATCCTGTAACTAGACAACTTAAATAGCATATGGGATATATATTTTATCCTTACATGGCATCCTTGTTCTAATTCAATCACTCCTGTCAAATATACATTTAAAAACAAATTAGATGACAGCCATTAAAATTAGCATGCACCCACACACAAACACACCAGTTATTAAAGACCCTAATCGAACCACATATTTTTAGATTTGGACTTCTCAGAAACTTGGGCAGTCTGAGTACATCAACAAAGTGTTTTCCTTAGAAACAGCATATGTAGGTTTGAATGAGAAGTTAGCAAATGCCATCTTTATCCAGTGACTTGATTTGTAATTATTAGAGTTCTTACATATTATAAAACCTGGAAAGTTATTTTTAAAACATTGTGGAGAGAAAAATCTTTATTTTTTTTCCTTTAGGCAACAGAGGTCATGAAACATTTGATGAAATACATGGAAATCATACACAATACATGATTTTTCCCTGAATCAAATTGATTAACTGTGAAGATTTTTATAAACGATTCAGAAAGAAAAAATTACTTTACTTTTGCTAACATAATTTTTTTTCATCTCTATGGCCACACAACCATTTCAAAGAAAAGTCTCAACTCAGATTTACCTTTGCCAAATGAAGAGCAACAAAGTCTGTGTCAGCGTAGCCCAGGCTCAACTGGGTCTGCCCTTTTCATCAGGAGCATCATCTGCTTGCTGCGTTAGTCTGCTGGTCATGCTCCTATGAACATGGGGAATGGGAGGGGGTAGACTTCATCAAGTATTGTCCAGGAATCTTTCTGTATTGATGCCTAATACATGCTGAAACTACAGTAAATACCTCGAAGGTAAAAAGGTCCTACTTTTGATTTCCATGACTTTTTTATTTTTGTACAATTAAGAGAAAAATACATTAATAAGGTACTTGGGATCTTTTTCTGGAATTCAAGTTAGCTTTGCTTGTATGCTCTGCTAAGTTAAAATGTGAATGGATTAAAATAGCTTGTGTCATCATGCTAAGTAATAGGAATAAAGTAAGTTCTTAACAAGCAATGACAATGAGATTAGTAGCCCTGACCAGGGTTCACAAATAGGTTAGCATCACTGTATTTAAACTGGTAATGAAAATTTTGTTCAGAGTTAAATGAGCTCTGTTTAAGGATCACTGTGAGGTTAACTCTACAAGAAAAATATTATTTAATCTGTATTCCTTACAATTTCTGACCCCTAAGATAGAAGCTTCGTCCATTCCTTGAGATGCTTTAAAGATATATAGCAATGATTTTTACTCATTTGGTAGCCCTCACAACACTTATAACACCCATGAAAAAAAAATGCTTTATGAGAAGGAAAAAGCGAAATGCTCATAACTTATGAACGTGCATTAAGATAAGACAAAAAATGTAAAGTCAAGATCAGAATATAAGTTACTGATATGGTAGCCCAACACATCAGCCACCTTATCAGCCTTGTTTCTATATTATTATAGAGGTCCTACCAATTACAAAACAGTTGTCCACCGCTATTATTAACTCAGTCTGTAAAATTTCTTTTCCTCTAGAAATAATATATCCAACAATAATAAATAAAGTAACAATATGGCTGGTATTAACCATTAGAATTTCATGTATTATAGGATGATTATAGAAATAAATATGGAAACTTTGTCAGCTATAATGAGATCTTACTGATATTTAATGTAACCTTACCTTTTAAGTGGTATACAAGGAGGCCTTATATATGAATAATTCATATATCCAACAAAAATTATACAATTTAATGTTTATAACACTTCCTATATGCCAGACATTGTGCTTAATGCTTCACAAAGAAGATTGCTAGTTCCTAACTACAATTACTTCTACAATTATTCCCATTTTGCAGATGTAGAAATTAATTATGGCTTAGAAGGATTAATTACATTCTATTAGATCACAGAGCTGGTAGTAGAAAATCAAGATTCACACCAGTGCTCATTTTATTATCAAGTACAATCTCTTACCATTATACTTTGCTAGAGTGTGAAATCCTGGAGAACTAACTTATATGTTTATATATTCCTTGCATATAACATAATGCATAATTATTTTGTGCTCAAAAGTGCACCAATGTTTATTATTTATATATGGGGAAAAACTATATCATGGTATGTTATTATCTGTCTATTGTAAATAGATAATAAATTGTATGCTATTAGGACATCTTCCCAACTCTACATTCAATGATGTCACTTTGGTAGCTTGAATTCAACCAGGTTGGAGCACTTTATATCACAGAAATTAGAAATCAGCAAATGCTACATATCAAGGCTTGTTTTGTTGATTTCCTAGAGTTAAGATAATAATGAAGAAAATGTTAATAATCCAGATTAAACATTATAATGTGTTGTGTCTATAGACATTCTATTGTAAATAGCACAAAAAATTGAATAAGTAGCCTTCCAGCATTCTAATACTGTCTCATTTAACAAAGAAACCACTCATGATATTAACCAATGAGTGAAAGTCTAATATGTATTTTAATTGTTTTACTTTTTGTCTTAATGTAAAGGAAAAATAAAACTTCATCATGTTGGAAGTACACTTGGAAAGCTGGTTGTTAAATATTTGTAAATACTGCAGGATGGCAGGTCAAAAAGATAATTAAGAAGAACCTCAGTAGCTGGAAGAACACACAGAACTTTCTAGTCGTCCTTACCTGAACAACTATGGGAGAAATAAACTCCTAGACTATTTGGATCAAAGTATTTTGGAATATCGTTTTTGCATATATTCAGCCTATAGCTAAAAGTAATATAAGCAGGTAGAGAGAGCCAGGTTGAATTGATGGATCAAAGGGCTAAGTGTACAAACTCTTCCTTCTTCTGGGAGCTTATATCATTAGAGCTAACCTTGGTGCGACCTCAGTATCTTCTGAGGAACCTCTCCTTTCTTAGATGCCCAGTACCATTTTCTATATCTTGATAGCTGATAGCGTTCTTCTAAAATGTCAGTCCCATCTAGGACTCACATTTCACGTTTAGCATCTATGCTCCAGAGTTTTCTCGACCCTCTTCTCCAGAAAATATTGTTGGATATGTCATTCCTTCAAGGTCGTGCTTGTTAGATGTCTAAGTTTACGTAAATTTCACCTAAGTTGTTCATTAAAAATTTACAGGCCCAGAGAATATTGTCCTTTATTTTAACCTGTAGCAGTGAAGAGTATCATGGCTAAATCAGAGAGAAAATATTATTAGTATAATCAACTATAAATTGTTCTACAAATTCCCTCATGTATGGACTGAATTGTGCCCAGTCCTATCCCCCTAAATTTATACATTGAAATCCTAATCCCTAGTGTACTTCAGAAAGTGACTGTATTTGGATAGAGGTCTTTTATAGAGGTAAATAAGGTTATATGAGATAATATGGGTGGGTCTTAATACAATATGACTGGTGTCCTTATAAGAAGGTGGAGAGATAAGAAGGTGGAGAGACATCAGGGATCGCTACACAGAGAAAAGGCCATGTGAGGACAATGACAAGGCAGCCATCTACAAGCTTAGGAGAGAGGCCTTAGAAGAAACCAAACCTGCCTTCACCTTGATCTTACACTTTTAGCCTCCAGAACTGTGAGAAAATAAATTTCTGTTGCTTGAGTCACTCAATCTGTGGTACTTTGTTATGTCAGTTCTCTAAAACTAATACACCTCAATAATATTTGTTTTATTGTTATTTAAAAAAATATGTTCCCATCACATCCCTATTCATTTGTGCTTTTATCTCCCCATTCATTTATTTAACATTGATTTAATAACCACTTTATAGCATATGGAGATAAAGATGGATGTGTGTGTGGGTGTGTACATAAACTCACTTAAAGGAACTCGGTTCAATGGAAGAGACACTTCATCATAAGTATAATCATTGTTCTATAAGAAAATAACCTTCATAAAACTAGAAACGTTAGAATTGAAAAACTGAAGAGACTTGTGAATTTTCTTTTAGTTTTTCTTTAAACAAAAACCTAGAAGTACTGAGTTCAAAACCCTAATGCACCATAGTTGTGAAAAATATAAGAATACTAATGATAAAATTACATTATGTAATTATTCCATATATCACCTCATGCTAAGTGTGTTCACTTTCATCATCTAATTTAATTCTCACAACACACTTATGTTATAGGAATTTTTTTATAGATAATGAATTGCAGCTTACAAAAATTGTCCAAAATCACATATTTCTCTCCATGTTGTATTTTTACATTTAAGCCTAGTGAATAGGTTTTCTCTTTAAAATTATCTCAGGATAGACTGTCTTAGTTTTGTGTTTTTTTATATAGTGGACTTGTCTTTTTTTTTTACTGTCTTTGAGTCTACTATATCTAATATATGTATAGCTACTCTTGCTCTTTTTCAGTTTCCATTTGCATGGAGTATCTTTTTCTATCCATTCACTTTCAGTCTATGCAAGTTCTTAAGGTGAAGTGACCCTCCTGTAGGCAACATATAGGTGAACCTTTTTTTATTCATTCAGTCACTGTATGCCTTTTAATTGGAAAATTCAGTCCATTTTCATTCAAAGGGGTAGAGTAATTTTCTCTAGTAGTACGTTTCAAATTTTTGCTTTTTATTTTAAATGCATCTATTATAAGTTTTTACTTTATGGTTACCATGAGACTTACAAAAAACATCTTAACGTTATAAAAGACTATTTTAAACAAAAAACAATTAACAAAAAAATCTACTTTTTTTTTTTTTTAAGACAGAGTCTTGCTCTGTTGCCCAGGCTGGAGTTCAGTGGTGCCATCTCGGCCTCCCGGGTTCAAGTGATTCTCCTGCCTCAGCCTCCCAAGTAGTTGGGATTACAGGTGCTGCCACCACGCCCAGCTAATTTTTTGTATTTTTATTGGGGACGGGGTTTCACCATGTTGGCCAGGCTGGTCTCAAACTCCTGACTTCAGATGATTCGCCCACCTCGGCCTCCCAAAGTGCAAAAATCTGCATTTTTACTCCATTCTCCCCCATTTTGAATTTTGGATGTCAGAATTTATATCTTTTAATGTTGTCTATTCTTAATAAGTTATTATAGTTATTAGTTTTAAGTTTTGTCTTATCTTCATATGTGTAAATATAGTGTATGAGTGAAATATATATACTATATATATATACCATATATAAACTATATATATAGTTTACATGCCATGATTGTAATATTAAAAAATTCTGAATTTATCTGTGTACTGACTTTTACCAGCGATCTTCATACTTTCAGCTGCTTTTGTGTTATAGGTTAGCATCCATTTGTTTCAGGTTGAAGAACTCCCTTTAGAATTTCTTGTAAGACAGGTTGGGTGGTGATGAATTCCATTAGCTTTGTTTGTCTGGGGAAGTCTTTACTTCTCCTTCATGTTTGAGGAATAGCTTTGCTGGGTACAGTATTCTTGATTAGGAGGTTTTGTTTGTTTGTTTACTTGTTTGTTTGTTTTTTCTTCAGCACTTTGAAAATACCATCTTACTTCCTCCTGTCCTCTAAGGTATCTGCTGAGAAGTCTGCTTCCAAGAATATTCAAACTTCCTTTTATGTTATTTGATTATTTTCTTTTGCTAGTATTAGGATCTACTCATCGTCTGTGACTTTTGAGAGTTTGATTATTTTATGCTTTGAAGTAGGGTTATTTGGGTTGAATCTGACTGGTGATCTTTGACCTATCTATACCTGGATATTTATTTCTCCACATTTGGAAAGTTTCCTGCTTGTTATTTCTTTGAATATTCCTTCTACCCCTTTGTCATCCTCACTTATTCTTGAATACCAGTGACTAGTACATTTTCTCTTTAGATGTTGTCCCATAGATATCTTAAGATTTAATTCCTCTTTATTATTTTTTTCTTTTTCCTCTTCTGTGTTTTCAAATAGGCTGTCTTTGCATTCATGGATTCTTCTGCTTGATCAATTCTGCTGTTGATGTTCTCTGTTGCATTTTTCAGTTTGTTCAATGTATCTTTCAGCTATTTGATGTCTATTTGATTTTTTAATAATTTCAATTACTTTTTTAAATTTTTAAAGTTCTGAATTATTTCTGTGTTTTCTTGGAGTTTATTGACTTTCCTTTAAACGGCTATTTTGAATTCCTAGTCTGAGTGTTCACATATTTCCACTTCTTTATGGTCATTGGTATCCTGTTTTGTCCATTTGATGAGGTCATATTTTCCTGATTGCTCTTGACGCTTATGGATATATATCAATGTCTATGGATTTAAAAATTTAAAAACTATTTGTTCCAGTCTTTGCTATAGGCTTTGTGTCCAACTTTTTATTATATTCTGTCTAGACATACTGTGCTGATTGATACAGTGTTTCTTAGTTTGAGATTACTGCCTTTTCTTCAGCACTAGATGGAGCCCTAAACCCAGGTTTGCTGCAAGTCTACTGTGGGCTCTGAGGTTGGCATAGCATTTAACTTGGATAGGCCTAGAGGAGACCCAAGAAAGTTACCTGAGCTATGTGGAAACACCAGCTAGGGAATCATGCCTACACAACCCATAGACCATTCTTCCTGAAACATGGCATTGCTCAACAGCCTCTCTGATTTTGTGTTTCCTCTGGTGAGAATGGAGAGCAGCCATACTGACATTCTGGCTACTGCTAGCCCCATCCCCATTCTTTGTCTCTAGCTGGTCTCAAGTGCTTTAGCGCTGCAGGCACTCACTACAGGCACTCCTGTAGGTCAAGGCAAAAGAGAGTTTCCTGTGAAGAGACCCAGGATAGTGAGGAAGCTGAGTGTATTTTAGTTTTTAATACATAGCTATCTTAACTAAACATGTGTATAAAAATAATTTATTTTCATTAGAAATAATTTTATTTTTACCCTAACATGTTTTTCTTTACATTGATGTAATATAAATTCCTATCCTTTGAATTGATGGTGATACAAATGAAATGGGCTTTTTGAAAACTAGTGAATGCATGGTTATCTGTTAAGAGCTGAGGCATAGAGTAAAAGCCCAGTGAAAACTGAAAAATATGTAAGTCATCATGAAGATGATTTAGAAACTAAAAAATATTAGTTTGCTAGATCTGTGCCAAAACAGTGGTTTTAAAAAACAAAAATTTAATGCCTTACAGTTCTAAAGACTAACGCCTAAAATTGAGGTATCAGCAGGGCCATAACTGCTCTGTGACTGAAAAGAATACTTCCTTACCTCTAGCTTCTGGTTTATCAGCAATCTTTAGAGTTTATCCGCTTGTAGATAGATGTATCACTCCAATCGCATGGCTATTTTTTCTCTGTGTCTTCATATCATCTTTTCCCTGTGCATTTTTGCCTCTGGGTCCGAATTTTCTCTTTGTATAAGGACAATAGTCATATTGGATTAAAAGCCACCTTAGTGACCTCATCTTAACTTGGTTAAATCTGCAATGACACTGTTTCCAAATAAGGTCACATACTCAGGTTCTGGGGTTTAGGGCTTCAGCATATCATTTGAAAGGAATACAATTCAATTAATAAGAGTGGTAAATAGGACTTTCTCATGCTTTTCCCTCAGCAAAATCATGAAGTAAAGGAAACTGATTCTTGGATTATACCAAATCTTTTTATTGTGCTCATTTTTGTTGGTGAGTCTGATCCCTTCTCTCTCCTTCTCATTAGGAACGCTGAGCTCAGTGCCCATGCATGTACTCTTCCCTCTTACTCCTCTCTCATCATAATCAAACTGCTCATTGGTCTTATATTCACCCTCCATCATAAATTATAGCTTCAGGGAGTATGTACATGTGGGGTGAAATGGATCCTTAAAGAAACAGAGTATATAGAGCATAGCAGAAAGCATATCCTGTTTATAGAGGCTTTTCCAAAATAGTTTATTCCTAATTTTCTTCAATGCTCATGCTAATAGCTATGATTCATTTTTAGACTCAGACTCAGAATAAATATAGCATTCTAATTATTTTTAAGGAAAATGTATTTTTCCTTAATAATAAATAAATTGTGCTACTTTTATCTGTTTGAAGTAATTAAAACGAGGATTTTGATGTTTTAATCTACAAAATTATACTGCAGGCACAAAATCAGAAATATTGAGTTAAAAGAAGAACGGACAAATTATACCAACTTTCAGTTACATTGTAGTAAATTCCTTTTGGCAACCTGTATACATGTATACAACAGATAGACCTAACTGAGTTTTTAAAGAACAATTTCAATATATTCCTAAAGCCATTTTCAAGGATTTCTGTGATTGAGGGAAAATAAAAATAAGAGAAGTTAATTAAAATGATTGAATTTTGTCAGTTTTAGCAAGGTAAGCTATATCCCATCAAAGACAGGGTGGATGCAATATAAAGAAAATAAATCAAATATGAAGATATTAAATTATTTAACAATAATTTACATAGTTTTGAATTAATAAGACTAGGCAAGCTTAGTGAATAAAGAAATGTGCATATATTTACTTAAAAACAACACATTTAAAATATGCTTCTAGTAAGTCTGACTTTTTTAAGGGTACACAATACAGTTGACATCAATCTAAAGCACTGGCATTCGATTTCTTATTATTTTGCATTACTAAATATCAAGTGTATAAATAATTATCATGCATAAATATAGGCTGGTTGTTCAAAATAACTTTCCACAGTGTTTCATCTATTTTGTATCCAGCTAAAATTTAACCCTATCTTCAGAGGGACAGTAGTATTTTAAACCAAGTCAATTAATAGTCTATATCAATCAGACAAAGGTATATTTTTTCTTAAAATAAATCCTACAAATAGCTTAATTTTAAGTTAATTCCTGATATTTGCATTATTTATTTCATTTAGAAACATATTGCACATATATTTGAAGATAAAATATTTAAGTTTTATCTTTCCAAAAGCTTGACTATCATCTTATCATGGACACTCAGAATGTCAAAATTAGGACATGTAGCCATTCTTCTGTTCTCATTAGGGAACAAACATCACTCAGGGAGCAGGTGTCCTCTCCGTTCCCTCTGCCAGCTTTCTGCCCGCTGCCAAGCCTGTAGTTCTATCTGGATATGTTAGCTGTGCACCAGAGGTTGATAGTCTCCTTCGCACTTGGCTTGAGCCCTTCCTTATATGGCCCTCAGAAAGAAATGTTAAAGATAAGGGGTACCTACCACGACAGTATCTGGAAAAATGGCAAAATGTCTGAATAATCACTGCAGCAAGAAGGCAATGATACTGCCTTTTTCTGATTCAAGGAGGGAGAAAAATTATTTCAGATAAATTCATGAAGGGAACTATCCTATGGCATAACAATGCTGTAACATTAGGTGAAAAAAAGATTAAATACACACACTATCAATGGGACAAGAAAAACATTCTGAAATTGTTTAACCCTGCTGTGTGTGTGTATGTAAAATGTTAAAACGTACATGTGGAGCAGTTTAACTTTTTTGGAAACTTTTCTCAAACTAACAATAATATTTCAATAGAAAAATTATTGAAACTAAATCGGATCCATGAGGATGAGTAATATTTAAATAGGTAGGGAAGGAAGACTCATATAGAGAGGAGTCACAGGGTCAAATGAATGGAAGAGGAAATGGGTGTGAGAATTTTCAGAGGGCTGTGAGTAAGGAGAACAATTTGTACAAATTAATGAAGACTAGGGGCAATAGTAGGTAGCAATGAACCTACTAATATTTAATGGAAATTTAAGTGCTAGAGAATATTAAAAACTGAAGGCATGGAGAAAGGACCACATAAAACCTTATCCAGCTAGTAAAAGGATAAAAGTGATGTTTAGGAAATGTAGGTGTACAGCAATATATTATTATTTTTAAGTTGAAAGTAATAAAATCCACTTAATACTGTACTCATTTTTGGTGCAATAATAACACTAATAATAATATTACCTTATTTCATTGAATTGTAGAAACATCGATTGAAAGATACACTATTGTGTATCAATTATTTTACAATCAGGAGTAAATGAACTCTGTCACATAGTCTATGACATACTATTCGCTATAAAACACAATCTGATTATTGAGGCATTAAAATGTGAAAAAATGTATCATTTAAAAGATGAAATACGGTAATGTCTATTACTTGGTGAGTGATTTTACTTGTTAGGAATTGTGCTAAGTATTTTATATGTATTAATTCTCAAAATATTTCTATAAACTATTATTTGTATGACTAGGTACTATTATAGTCAATTTTGACAAATTGAGATAACCAAGGCTTAGAGTAGTTAAACAACTCCCCTTGGCTATACAGCTAGACAAGGAGCCAAGATTTTTATTCAAATCATATATGATTTAAATGTAGTAAGTAGAAAATGATAAGTCACTGAACAATTATTAAAGGGCCAAAAAAGTAAACATTAACAATTTTATTATCAATATAAGAAAACTCTAGGAATAATTGAATCTAATTGGTAAAAGAAAAAAAACAGAAATTTATGCATTTCCAAGTTTTCAAGTACAAGAAACTAAAACTAAAGACATTATATTGGCAGTAATGGGCATATTCAGAAGGGTAACTGCTTTCAGATAATATAATATTTCCTTAGGAAACATTGAGTTTCAAATAACGTCAGGGTGACAAACTCATATTGCCGTTTAGCAGTTGCACATATGGGACTGAAGCAAAGGTGAGAAGTCGGGGAGTCATGTGAGAAGTGGTACTTGAAACCATGAGGAGAAATGGGCCATATCATGTGAATACTTAAGGAGAAGAGCAGGAGACACAGGACCAATGTTCAAGTATAAACCACAGTTATAAATCAGGAGGAAATGTGCCAGCTGCGGAGAAAGAGAAACCAGCAGGGAAGAGCTGAAGAACAAGAATCATAAAGAGGCTTATCAATCAAAGAGTCTAAAGAATTTGAGAGATTTAATAAAACATGAATTGAGAAAAGGTTATTGAATTTGGGTAGGCAGGTGGTGATATTAGGAGAATAATTTCACCAGCCAGGTGGTTTTCAAAGCCAGATTTCCAGAGGATTAAAACAGAAATGAGTAGAAGCTATAGCACAGGTGTAGGTCACACACGTTAGGAACTGGTGATAAAGGAAGAAGGGAAATTAATACATGAAATTGGGAAAAGGAGACATTTTAAATGTCAGCAAAGGAAGCATGAGCAACATGAAAGAATTTAATGCAGAACACAACTTGAAAATATGAAGTTTGAGAGGTTCGATACAGAGGCAGTTCATCTACTCACTGCACAACATTTTATTGAGTAACTACTGTGTCCATTGCTGCACAGTTCCTGCTTTCAAGTTAAAACCTATTGAGAAAAAGCCAGGTGCAGTGGCACACATCTATAGTCGCAGCTACTTAGAAGGCTGAGGGGGGGAAGATTGCTTGAAGCCAGGAGTTTGAGACAGCAGTGCACCATGATCCAGGCTGTGAATAGCCACTGCACCCCAGCCTGTGCAACACAGTGAGACCCTGTTTGTAAAAAAACAAAACTAAACTAAGATGTTAAAAGGCAACTAAACTATAGCAAAATAATAGGTGTGTTAAAGATATGTGTAGTGGGCAAAAGTAAACAGAAACAAAAGGACCCCCTAGTTCAGACTGGAGACAAGATTCGCAGGAAAGTGAGGCCCAAATGGAGTTTTGAAACCTAAGTGTATGGAAGGTGGTGGAAAAAATGAGAAACACTTATGAGGGAGCTAAGCTTTTTTAGAACCGAAAAGTAGTTCAGTATGGGTGGTATCTTGAGTAAGAGGAGAATAATGATGAGAGATGCAGTTGAAGAGGTTAGCAAGGGCTATGCCACGGTGGTTTACATTTAGCTGACATTTAGTTACAGACTATTTAATAATCAGTTCACACATACACATGAAAACCTTTGCAGAAAATTTAAGCTGAATAGAAATAAAATCTTCACCTGCCTTAATGGAAAATTTTAGTAGATTTCCCATAAAAGCATGCTTAATATTTTGATTAAATGAGTGTTACATTAGTTGTATAAAATCTACACTTGAAAACAGAAGACGTAAATTTATCTTGAGATGTCATCAATTGCCCTGTTACCTAGGGAAAGCCATTATCTTTCAGAGAAAAGTAATGCATGTTACCTAGATTGACATCATGATCACAATATGAAGGTGTTTTGTAAACTTTACAGTCAATTCATGTTGGCTGTGCTGTTAGTTAAAATTATAGTGATTGGGGTGGGCCTTAATAGCTAGATTAAAGAGTTAAGATTAAAATTTATGGAGATAGAAAGATACTTTTGTTTCTCAATTTGAAAGTAATGTATGAGGTAGAATAGACATTTATTATAGAACTAAAGGAATTAAATCAAGGAGTAAAATTTGAAGGCCACCATAGAAATAAAGTAGGGAAAATAAGAGGATCTAGATTGATGAGGAATCAAGAACTTCACAGACAGAATGGCAACTAATGTGTTACAAAGAAAAGCATTCATAAGAATTGGCAATTGATTCGACAGGGAATAGGAGCAAAAATATAGCCCTATGATTGTGCAGAGAAACAAATACAACACTTCTTTAAAATATGGATAAAAAATTGTAAAGATGTCCCATTGCAAACTAAACCAGAGTTAAATTATCATTAAATATACACGTGAATTAACCTAGATATATATTATATATATTTAATACTTAAATATGTACTATACATGTTTAATTAATATGTATATTGAATTATACCAATTGATATTTGGTAGATTTCTAAGATCAGTGTCCTACTGGACACGTGTGATTTGAGATGATTTAAAAGAAACTACTTTTTTCTACATTGATTCAAATTGTCTTAGTATCCTCAGAGAAGTTTTGTGTAGACAATTGTCAAGGTGTGCAACAGAATAGATAGGTATGATTTAATATCTACTCACTGTATGATTGAATGATACATATCTAGATAGATATATAGATAGATACAGATAAAAATGGATAATAGCTTTGTTCTGTCAATGTCACTCAAACTGTAGTGACTGCTTGGAGTACTGCTGGTAAAAGAGCTCTGTCCAGGCTTAGCAGTGTTATAATCTGATATTTTTGTCTGCCATGGAAATGGTGCCACATATGTGTAGACCCAATACATGTTATATATAGATAGATAGATAGATGATAGATAGATAGATATAGATATAGATAATATATATAAAGAACATAGGCACATATATATATGGCTCAGAGGCACACTGTATATGTGCCTATGTTCTTTATAGCAATTGTTATAGTCTCTAATTCCGTGCTTCTTTGTGTGTCTAAATTTTGATTATGTGATATTTAAAGATAAGGCCTGGGTCTTTTTGTCTAATATGATCATTGCTTTTCAAAATGCCTTTCATATAGCATGAATTTAGCAAATGTAGAAATAAATAATTACTGTGCATTTCAGAATTTGTCTTATAAATTTTGGGGTTTTGGGGAAATAATTATCTGCTCCATAAATTAGCAGAGAACATCTCTCATCATTTTGGCATCACCAATCATTCATTGCAAAATGCTGTGCAAATTCTTGGCACTCAATAAGTATTTTCTCAATTGAATTGAAAAAATGTAACATTACAAAAAAAAAGAGGCAACAGAATATGTAGACAGACATTTACCAATCATCCAGATTACAAGATGGGCTTGAAATTTCTTTCTTTCTTCTTTTTTAAGACGGAGTTTTGCTCTCGTTACCCAGGCTGGAGTGCAATGGCATGATCTCAGCTCACTGCAACCTCCGCCTCCCGGGTTCAACCGATTCTCCTGCCTCAGCCTCCCGATTAGCTGGGATTACAGACGCCTGCCACTACGCCAGGCTAATTTTTGTACTTTTAGTAGAAATAGGGCTTCGCCATATTGGCCAGGCTGGTCTCGAACTCCTGACCTCAGGTGATCCACCCACCTCGGCCTCCCAAAGTGCTGGCATTACAGGAGTGAGCCACCGCGCCCAGCCAGAATTTCTTAATAGTGGCATATTTTAGAGGCTGAATCTTGAAAGGCCATATACTATCAATAAAATAATAAAATTAAATCCAAAGATCAACTCCACCTAGGGAATATCCTGGCATCTTGGTTGTTATGGGTGGTGCTGTTAACTTTAAAGGTAGATGAAAGGAAGGAAGGAAGGAAGGGAGGAAGGGGAAGGAAGGGGAAGGAAAGGGAAGGAAGGGGAAGGAAGGGGAAGGGAAGGGAAGGGAAGGAAGGGAAGGAAGGGGAAGGGAGGGGAAGGAAGGGAAGAAAGGGGAAGGAAGGGGAAGGGAAGGGAAGGGAAGGAAGGGAAGGAAGGGGAAGGGAGGGGAAGGAAGGGAAGAAAGGGGAAGGGAGGGGAAGGAAGGGAAGGAAGGGGAAGGAAGGGGAAGGAAGGGAAGAAAGGGGAAGGGAGGGGAAGGAAGGGAAGGAAGGGGAAGGAAGGGGAAGGAAGGGAAGAAAGGGGAAGGGAGGGGAAGGAAGGGAAGGAAGGGGAAGGAAGGGAAAGGAAGGAAGGGGAAGGGAAGGGAAGGAAGGGAAGGAAGGGGAAGGAAGGGAAGGAAGGGGAAGGAAGGGGAAGAAAGGGAAGGAAGGGGAAGGAAGGGAAGGAAGGGGAAGGAAGGGGAAGAAAAGGAAGGAAGGGGAAGGAAGGGAAGGAAGGGGAAGAAAAGGAAGGAAGGGGAAGGAAGGGAAGGAAAGGAAGAAAAGGAAGGAAGGGGAAGGGAAGGGAGGGAAGGGAAGGAAGGGAAGGAAGGGACAGAGAGGAAGTGGGGAAGGAGGGAAGGAGGGAGGAAGGGAGGAAAAAATTCAAGCCAGAAAGCTTTTATTGCTCCCATAGTATAATAAATAAAATCGATTTCTTAAAATTGTATCTTTGTAATTGTCTGACACTGAATGCACAACACATATGCGTTACTTCCTTTGGTGCTTTAAGTTGTATTGCCCAGATGACTTGAAAATTAGGCAGAATTCAGTTGGCTAACTCAATAGAGACTATTCTTTCCTTTGCTTCTTTAAAAAGTCAGAATAGCCAAACCCTATCAATGGGGTAATTTGGTTCCAATATGACATATTTTCTTTTTATTTTTCAGTGAGATGAGCTGCACCTAATAAAAAAGACAAAATGCCCTCCAAAGTCTATGGGAACCTTTCCCAGTAAATTTTAAGAAACACTGGTCTTTTAATTACATTCCATAGAAAATAAATGGAAAATGGCCTTTCTAAGATCTGGTACTGAATAATGACCTCCAGTGGCCATGCCAAATCCCCAGCAAATTTCACAGCTGGCAGAGGCGTGCAAAGTGGGAGGCAGTGACAGAATAGGGGAAAAACTCACCACTTTTAGTACCTACTAAAGTTACTGGAATAGGAGCTTAACTCAAATCAGAATACGAATACATGTAAACAACAGGTACGTCACTATTCCACAAATCCCATCATGAAATAAGCTACATAAAATTTACTTCAATCAGGCCAGTCTTGTAAACATCATAGTTTTTTTTTTTTCTTGTAAGTCACAGAATTCCAATACCTTACCAGTCTGGCTCTTAGGTGTACCAATGACTCAGAAAGATTTAAAACACCTGTTACTGATTCAGTGCCCTCCTTAACAATAAGCTGTTTCTCTCCAGCCTCTCTGTGTTTTAGTGATTATAAAACTCCCATTCTACTATTGAAGAGTGCCTTGAAGAAATGACACCATTCTATACTTCATCACTTCCTTGGCTTCCTTCAGTTTTCTAAGATAATAGCAGTATTATAGCATCTTGCTTGGACACCAAGTGATATCAGTAGATTTCTAAGATCAGTGTCCTACTGGACACTTGTGATCTGTGATGATTTTTTAAAAATTACTTTTTTTTTACTTTGGTTCAAATTGTCTGAGTATCTTCAGAAAAGTTTTGTGTAGGCAGTTGTCAAGGTGTGCAATACAAGAAATGGTTGAGGTTGATGTTTATCTATAGTTTCTATTGCTTTATTTAGAACTGAGTTAGCATACAATGTAGAAACACATAAATGACATTCTATTGTCAAAAGATTAACTTTCACAATTTTCACTTTTCTATTACACCATTTCTATTTTTGAGTAGAGTGTAAACAGCTGATAATCTTATTATGATTCTTTTCTTATTAGGTTCTATCAGTAAATCAAGATGAAACTGATTTACATACTTAAGGCAAGGGATATCCAATATTAAGCCTATATATATGTGTGTGTGTTGTATCATGATAATTTATAAAGCTACCTACTTAACTTCTTTTTATGGAAAAGGTTTACTACTCTGATATCCTTCATACAGTGTTTCCATTAGGGGACTTCCTTTCTTGAGAATACATACTAATTAGTATAGTAGATACAGTGTATATACCTAGATAGGAGGAAAACATAAACCTCACTAACTGATTTGTAAGACCCCTAATATACTTAGAGCACATAGAGCATTTTAAAACTTTGGACCCTTACTAGTGGAAGTGTGAACTATGTATCAGCAACAGAGGCTCCACATAGGAACTTAGAAAGGTAGAATCTTTGGTCCCATCCTGGATCTACTGAGGATGAATATTTGCATTTTAACAAGATTTCCCAGATGAATCTTATTTATAATAGATTCACATTTGAGAAACACTGCTTTAGACATTTTATATCAAAGCCTGTTCCACCAGAGGAAGGCAAGCATACTCCTTCTCCCTTTAAAATACATGTTTTTGGCAAGACAAAATATTGATCTCCAAGTAGGGAGGCTTCCTGATGCCTTGTCATATTGCTTGGAATCAATAGCTTCCTCTGGACCCCAATCATCATCTTGTGGAAACCACTTATTAGTATTCTCATTTCATGTACCTCTAGTTTTAGCAGTTCCTCCAAAGACACCACTACTTGTTTTTTTTTCTTTAAGATCTTATTTTGGCACTACCTTCTATCAGGGGAACCAGCCTCCAATATTTCAACGTAGGTCGTTTCTATTTTCCCTAAGTATCAGCCAGTCTGAGAAATAAAGAGAAAGAGTACAAAGAGAGAAATTTTACAGCTGGGCCCCCAGGGGTGTCATCACATATTGGTAGGATCATCATGGTGACCCCGAGTCGCAAATCCAGCAAGTTTTTATTAGGGATTTTAAAAGGGGAGGGGGTGTACGAACAGGGAATAGGTCATCAGGATCACCTACATCAGGATCACCTTTATTGCTTCAAAGGGCAATAAAGATCACAAGGCAAGGCAAAATTAGAATTACTGATGAGGGTCTATGTCCTGCCGTGCATGCATTGTCTTGATAAACATCTTAACAGGAAACAGGGTTCGAGAGCAGACAACCAGTCTGACTAGAATTTATCAGGCTGGAATTTCCCAATCCTAGTAAGCCTGAGGGTACTGCAGGAGACCAGGGAGTATTTCAGTCCTTATCTCAACCACATAAGACAGACACTCCCAGAGCAGCTGTTCATAGACCTCCCCCCAGGAATGCATTCCTTCCCCAGGGTATCAATTATTAATATTCCTTGCTGGGAAAAGAATTCAGTGATATTTCTCTTACTCACACGTCCATTTATAGGCTCCCTGCAGGAAGAAAAATGTGGCTCTATTCTGCCCGACCCCGCAGGCAGTCAGACCTTATGGTTATCTTTCCTTGTTCCCTGAAAATTGCTGTTATTCTGTTCTTTTTCAGGGTGCACTGATTTCATATTGTTCAAACACATATGTTTTACAAACAATTTGTACAGTTAACACAATCATCACAGGGTCCTGAGGTGACATACCTCCTCAGCTTACAAAGATGACGGAATTAAGAGATTAAAGTAAGACAGGCATAAGAAATTATAAAAGTATTAATTTGGGGAACTAATAAATGCCCATGAAATCTTCACAATTTATGTTCAGAGATTGCAGTAAAGACAGGTGTAAGAAATTATAAAAGTATTAATTTTGGGAACTGATAAATGTCCATGAAATCTTCACAATTTATGGTCTTCTGCCATGGCTTCAGCTGGTCCCTCGGTTCAGGGTCCCTGACTTCCTGCAACAACCCTCCTAAGACCTTTAGCAGAAAACGCAGCAGTATGATAGCTCTGAAACAACCTGTGTAAAATCAACTGGTGAAAACGTTTCTCTCTCTTCTTCATGTGTCTTTCATTCTGGCTGATTAGTACTCAGCTGAACATAGCATGAGGAGCTCTCTGCAAATCTCAGGGTTCTCTTTCTTCTCTCTTGTACTCTGTCTTGTAAATGCTAGTGGCCTTGTTCTTCCTGAACTATCAGCTCTGTCCCTTCCTGGCAGAGTCTGCCAGGCTGCAACCAGTATTCTCCTCACTGAGTCTGGAAACACTCTCAAGGCAGTAAATTAGGTTGATTGGAAGACTCCTCCCCAAACCCCCAAAACACCATATTGTTTCTCCTCTTTCAAAGAATATTGGGTTTTTGCTATTTGATATTCAGTATCTTGAAAATCATTGCCAATTTGTTTGTTCTGTGTTTCTTATTTTAAGGAGGATGTAAATGTGGTCTATATTATTTCATTTTGCCTTGAAGTGGAAGTCTCAATTTTGCCTTGATTTGAAGAGAGCAAGCACCAACCTAATATATTTGCACAGAAAAATCCTTTACTCTAGCTTTGTAAAACTTCAGCTTTTATCTTAAGTGAAATCAAGAAGTGTTATAGAATTTTGAGCAAAGAAATAACATGACAACATGTTGATTTTAAGAGGAAAAAATTAAGGAATAAGTCCATTTATCTCTGCAGCCTCTGCACAGAATGTGCTCAGTAATGTTTTTTGATAATAGTAATAATGTAATACAGTTAATTACTTGCCTTAGCACCTGGCTACAAGTCACCATTATTTGACACTGATATGTCAGATTCCATGCTAGATTCTTGATTCTTGCTATTCCCACTCATTCTTACAAAAATTAGGTAAATATATTAGTCTCATTTTGCAGAAGAGAAGAAACGAGTCTTACAAAGTTTAAGCATCTTCCCCCGGGTTCACATATTTGGTAGTCAAATTCAATCTCAAGTCCATCTGGCTCCTGTATCTGTGCTCTGTGACATTACTCCTACTGTCTACATCGCAGGTACTGTATAGTAAGTACCTTGAGAAAATGTAACTTTCTTTTCAGCTTCTTGCTGTAACTGAAGTATGTTCATTCTCCAAATCACTGAAACATTTGGCTCAATGCAGCTCTCACTCCTGACATTCATGTTGATAATTTTCATATGTGTGAAGAAGTTCCCAATATTTTTCTAATTTATTAATTTCTGTCTTTTGAAATGTATGTATTCATGTCATGCTTCTACTCAAAATTCTACAGTGGCTTCTGATTTCACTTAAAAATCAGCTAAAGTTTTTACAATGATTCTCCAGAGAAACAAACCAAAGGTTCTTCAGAGAAACAGAACCAAGGGTTCTCCAGAGAAACAGAACTAGTAGGCTATATATATTGATGTAAACATTAATTTACATTATCATGGGATTGGCTCACATGATTATGAAGGCTGAGAAGTTCCATCATTTTGAAGGCTGAGAAGTTTCATCATTTGCCATCTACAAGCTGAAGAACCAGGAAAGACAGTGGTGTAATTCAGTCTGAGTCTAAAGGCCTGAGAACCAGGGGAGCCAGTGGTGTAACTACCAGTCCTAGCCTGAAGGCTCAAGAACCAAAGTCCAAAAGCAGGAGAAGATGGATGTCCTAGTCTATGAAAAGAGAGATGGAAGACCCAGTATGGTGGCTCATGCTTGTAGTTTCAGCCCTTTGGGAGGCTGAGGTTGGGGGATCACTTGAGGTCAGCAGTTCGAGACCAGCCTGGCCAATATGGCAAAACTGTGTCTCTACTAAAAATATAAAAATTAGCCAGATATGGTGGCAGGTGTCTGTAATCCCAGCTACTTGGGAGGCTGAGGCATGAGAATGACTTGAATCTAGGAGTCAGAGGTTGCAGTGATCTGAGATCACATCACTGCTCTCCAGCCTGGGCAACAGAATGAGACAGAAAGAAAGAGAGAGAGAAAGAGAGGGAGAGAGAGAAAGAAACACAAAGGAAGGAAGAAAGAGAGAGAGAGAGAGAGAAAGAAAGAAAGAAAGGTAGAGAGAGAGAGAGAAAGAAAGAAAGAAAAGAAAAGAGAAAGGAAAGGAAAAGGAAAGGAAAGGAAAGAGGGAGGGAGGGAGGAAGGAAGGAAGGAAGGAAGGAAGGAAGGAAGGAAGGAAGGAAGGAGAAATGTATGTCCTAGCCCAACAAGAGAGAGAAAGAGAGAATTCACCCTTTCTCCACCTTTTTATTCTATTTGGGTCCACATGGAATGGATAATTCTCACCCACATTAGTGAGGGTGGATCTTCTTTACTCAGTCTACCAATTCAAATGCTAATCTCCTCTAGAAATACAGACTGAACCAGAAATAACATTTTTCCAGCTATCTGAGCCTCTGTCAACCCAATCATGTTGACAAATAAAATTAAACATCACAAATCATAAGTAGAGTGACCATATCATTTATTATTTAAGCCAAAACACTTTTGAGAGTAAAAGAAGGCAACAGACAATTATGCTGGAAAAAAAAAGGCACACTGAAACTCTTTCGAACAAACTATGACTTATAGACATCCACCAGACAAGCATTACATGATCTGGCTTCCAATATATTTTCTTATGTCTCCTAATACTTGCCTCCTCATTCTGCTCAAGCACACTGGCTTCTTTGCTCTTCCTCAAGGACACTGACAATTAAGGACTACACAGTTGTTGTTCCTTTGTCTAGAATTATCTTTCACCAGGCTCTCCTTCCTTACATCTAAATCTTTTACTAGGGAGGGCTTCCCTAGCAACTAAAAAAAAAAATTGCAACCCCATCTCTGCACTTAATATTTTTCATACTCCTTACCCTACATTTTAAAACATCTATTATTTCTGAAAAAGAATTTGCTATTAAATTGAAAACAAAATCTGACTAAAATACTTTCACTGTCCAGAGAAGTAACATAATTTTATTCCATAGAGGTTTGTTCTTTGGTTCATTGATTTAGGAAAACACACTGATTGACCTTAATAAAATTTTTCTATTGAAACCACTGTATCTCTTGGGCATTAGTGAGGTCTGAATATGAGATAAAGAAGATGCTAAATTTCTTTCCATGATAAATTAAAAATTTGAATGTTACAGGCTATAGAAGTAGAGAGGTGGCTGAGACTAGATACAGAAGTTGAAATTTTGGAAATATTAACTCTAAAGAGAAAAGAGTGCCCTAGCTCTTTGGATAGCAATATCTAATACTAAATGTTAAATTTTCCCTATTTTTGTGCATTAATTATGTAATTACCTTAGTATTGGCCCCAAAGTGCTGTACGTCCTTTCTGAAAACAGCAATGTTGCAAGAGAAAATATAAAAAGGCAGATTTTCATATTGGTAATAAAACAGGCAAAAAGAGAAGAAGTAAACAATTGGAGCTGTCACAAAAACTTATGTGATGACTTTGAGATAGGCCAAAAAACAGTAATGGTAGTCCTTTCTAGGGGTTAGAGTAATAATACCAAAAGACATAATACTGAATGTCATAATCCCAAATGTTGAAATTTCTGAAGATCAACAAACCCTGACATAATGTTCAAAATCATTAATGTTCAAAATCCCCAAAGTTACAATGACAGGATACTTCCATCATGTTGGGTGGAGCTATTGCCTTGTTATTATCTTTATATGGAAATTAAGTATGGTTTAAAGAGATGCATATGGGTGGCAAATTGACAAAGGATGGACATCTGGACTAAATTTTAGGTGTCAATTTTATTGTATTAAGAAATACCTAGGAACTTAACAAAACATTATTTTGGATGTGTCTGTGATGGTGTTTCCAGAGGAGATTAGTTTGTGAGTATGACTGGACTAGATGAAGATCTTCTCTCAATGCTGGCAGGCACCATCCAATTCGCCAGGGCATAGAGAAAACAAATACAGAAGGCAATTGATCAGCCCTTTTTTCTGCTGCCTTGAACATCAGAACTCCAGGATCACTGGACTGTGGACTCCCAAACTTAAAGCAGCAGCCCCCAGGTCTTGAGGCTTTCAGCCTCAGACTGAAAGTTATACTATCAGCTTCCCAATTATCAACATAAAATGCTGAAACTTCCTCAACAAATAAAGAAATTTTCTTTTTATACATCTGCTTTCATGAAATAGAAAATTTTTCAAGATTTTAGTTCTTCGGGCAACTGCATATGCAGTGGCAACTCACTGTGATTTTTGATCAATCTCATCAAAAGACTTCCGTTGTCCATCATGATATTTCAGATAAGTGTAGTTATAAAACTGGGTGCACACAATTACCACCATAGAGATATGTGCTTATACATTTTGCTGTATAACCTATTTTTTATTAATATGATTTTTAAGTTTATAACTGTGGTACCCATGTAACTGTCCTTAGTATACAGGAGTGTTTATGCTTGCAAAAACATGTATGCTACTATTGCTTATTTTATTGTGTAAGTTGGCCCATGAATTGTTCTGTCATGTTTTATGTGTTTTTTCTTAAACAAATCCCCTTTAAAAATGTTTAAATAGATATCTTTTAAATAACTTACTTTTCATGTGTGATGGTTAATACTGAGTGCCAACTTGATTGGATTAAAGGATGCAAAGTCTTGTTCTGGGGTGTGTCTGTGAGGATGTTGCCGAAGGAGATTAACATTTAAGTCAGTGAACTGGGAGAGGCCAGACCTACCCTCAATCTGGGTGGGCACCATCTAATCAGCTGCCAGTGCACCTAGGATAAAAAGCAGGCAGAAGAACATAAAAGGACTAGATTTTCTGAGTCTTCTGGCCTTCATCTTTCTCCTGTGCTGGATGTGATCTTGTGAGTCAATTCTCCTTAATAAACTCCCTTTCATATATACATATATACTATTACTTCTGTACCTCTAGAGAACTCTGACTAATACATTATGTTTTATTTATTTTTCTAGAATTACATTGTTGGGATTTTGATCTTTCAAGATTTTCACTTTTGGGATTTTGACATTTGAAATTCTGTCTTTGGGATTTATGATTGATTCCCTCATCTAGCTTGCTCCATCTCAGTTATCTCTGCTTTTCATTATTCTTGACCTATATTACAATACTGTATGTTGTAGAAAGCTAATAATAATGGAAAAGCTTTCTGTCCTTAAAAATATACATTTTTTTGTGTTCAGTAAATGAATTGATTATTACCTGTGACTAGACAAATTATATGCATCTGTTTATAAATTCATTTTAGCATTTCATTACTGCATAAAAAGTTGGCTATTTAAATGCTCCTCTCAATCAGTAATAACATCTTACAAGTTCTCTCATTAATTAAGTTAAATAAAAATTTGACATGTGTTTATATTTCTTAGAGAACCACGATTTTATATTTTAAAAAACATATTGAAGAGAGGGATCAAGATGGCTGACTGGAGACATCAGACACTCAATCTCTCCAGAAAGAAGAACCAAATTGATACATAAACAATTATACTCCAATAGAATATCTCGGAGAGAACACTAGAATCTGGCAGAGAACTCACTGGAAACAACTGAGGCACAGAACGTGAAGCAAGCAAATGGCCAGCACAGATGACATCAGCCAGGAGCCTAGAGGGACTCAAAATTGTGGAGAAAACCTAAGTGGAATAGCTTCAATAGTCCACATTTCTGACCCAGAAAGACTGCTATATTCCAAATCGTGGGAGAACTTCTGTACCCACATGAACCCTGACACCAGGGTGGGTGATGATGTGAAGACTCCACAGGGTATTGCAATAGACAGGGAACTCATGTTGGGTCACTCAGTTCCCTGATAAGACTGAATGGCTGAAGCAGGGCACCATTTTGGGAACAGAGCTGTCACAGGATTGCGCTTGCCCTGGAAACATTAGCCCCCATATTTCCACATCCCCTGGAGCACCGCCTGATATTCCCCAGCATCCGCTAAGCAAATGGCAGCAACACAGCACTGGCTGGACCCAGAGGTACTGCAAGGTCCCCAGTACTTTAGCACACAGGGTGGTGCAGCAAACCAAAAGGCAGTCCTTAGGATAAAGTAAACCAAAGTTCATGCTTTCCAGAGCATGAGAGCTCTCTGTCTGTGGCTATGAGAAGTGACTTTGCCCCAGTAGTGAAACAAAATCTGTGCTTGGCTTTGCAAGCAAAGAGTGAATTACTCTCCCACCAGCAGACAGGCATCTGTGGCTCAAGCTCTTGCATAAAGAATAGGACCCTTCCTACCCTTCTGCACATTCACTCCTGCTGCTGCAAAAGTGAAGGGCTACCAGTCTGTGGTGATGAGTGGCATCTGCAACCCCACCGGCAGCATGGCCCCCTTATCTGGACTTGTATGTAAAAGTGGGCACCCTCCCCTCCTCCATGTGGCATTATAGCATTCCTGCCACATTCTCTGTGGCAGAAGAGCCTGAGAGCAGTTTATCTGGGGCTGCAGCCACTACCAACACTACCCTGTACCATTTTGGACCCAGAAGGTGGTCCCACCACAACTACTGCCATTGACCACACATGTCAGCTGGCCATGGACCTGAGAACCACTCAACCACTCAGCCCACCACTACCACTACTGGCATCTAAGCAAGGCACCTGGAGGCCCAAGAATTGGCCCACTGGTAACTGCCAACACAGGTACCAGTGTATATCACCTGGGGACAAAAAGACAGGCACATCAGCCCACTGCTGCCACCACTGGGCTTGAAGACTGGCCCATCTGGCTTCTTAGTCCCCAGTACAACTTCACTATAGCCTTCACAAATAACTACACCCTCACTCTCAGAGGAAATTACTAACCCTGTTTGCAGACAAAGAAGCCATACAGAGATTACACTACTGTGCACAACCAAAATGAAAGACAAAGATGACTACTCTCACCACTCTTATTCAACATAGTACTTTAAGTCCTAGCCAGCGCAATTAGGCAAGTATAAGGAAGGACATCTGTGTTGGAAACAAGAAAGTGAAAACGTCCCTGTTTGCCGAAGATATAATCTTACATATGACAAAACCTGAAGATTCCACCAAAAACCTTGTAGAAATAAAGAAATTCAGTAAATTTGCACAATATAAAATCAACATACAAAAATTAGTAGCATTTATGTACTCCAACAATGAACTAGCTGAAAAAGAATCAGAAAATCAATTCCATTTACAATAGCTACAATAACTAAAATAAAATAAAATAAAATACATAGGATTAAATTTAACCAAGGAGGTGAAAGATATATACAAGGAATACTGTGGAACATTGATGAAAGACATTGAAGAAAACACAAAAAATTAAAAGGTATCCTAGGTTCATGGACAAAAAGAATTTATATTTTTTAAATGACCACACTATCCAAAGTGATCTACAGATTCAATGCAGTCTCTACCAAAACATCAATGACACTCATCACAAACATAGAAAAAAAAATCATAAAATATGTATGAAACCACAAAAGACCCCAAATATTGAAAGCAATCCTGAGCAAAATGAACAAAGCTGGGGTCATTACACTAACAGATTTTGAAATATGCTACAAAAGTATAATAACCAAAACAACACAGTACTGGCATGAAAATGGACACACAGACCAGTGGAACAAAATAGAGCTATCAGAAATAAATCCATTTATTTACAGTCAGCTCATTTTCAACAAAGGCACAAAGAACATCTATTGAGGAAAGAATTGACTCTTCAATAAGTGATGTTGGAAAAACTAAATAAGGATATGCAGGAGAATGAAACTGGACCCCTATCTCTCATCATATTAAAAATTCAACTCAAAATCCTAACAACTTAAATGTAAAACCTGAAACTATAAAACTACTAGAAGAAAATATAAGGGAGATGCTTCAGAACATTGGTCTAGGAAAAGATTTTATTAATGAGACCTCAAAAGCACTGGCAACAAAAGCAAAAATAGACAAAATGGAATTGTATCAATCTAAAAATCTCTGCACAGCAAAGGAAACAATCAATGGAGTGAAAGGACAACCTAAGGAATGGAAGAAAACATTTGCAAACTATTCATCTGACAAGACAGTAATATCCAAAACATACAAGGAACTCAAACAACCTAACAACAAAAAAAAACCTTAACAAATACCAAATTTAAAAATGTATAACCGATCTGAATAAACATTTCTCAAAAAATATGCAAATAGCCTAAGAGTGTGAAAAAAAATGCTCAACATCATTATCCATGAAGGAAATGTAAATCAAAACCACAATCAGATATTCCCTCACCCCAGATAAAGTGGCCATAATCAAAAAATCGAAAATAACCTGCTGGTAAAGGTGAAAGAAAGGGAACTCTTATACATTGTTCTGGGGAATGTAAACTAGTGCCACCATTATGGAGAACAGTATTGAGGTTCCTCAAAAGACTAAAAATGAATTACCATATGACCCAGCAATTTCACTATAGAAAGGAAATCAGTATATCAAAAAGGTATTGACATCCCCATGTTGATTGCAGCCTTCTTCACAAAAGACAAGCTATTCAATCAGCCTGTGTGTTCATCAATAGATGACTGGATAAAGAAAATGTGGTATATATACACAATGAAATAATATTCAGCCATAAAAAGAATAAAATCCTATTATTTGAAGCAACATGTATGAGCCTGGAGGACATTAAGTGAAATAACCCTGGAAAAGAAAAATAAATATTGCATATTTTCACTCATATGTGGAAACTAAAAAGATTGAACTCATAGACTATAATAGTAGAATAGTGGTTACTAGAAGCTGGAAAGGGTAAGGAAGTGGAGAAATGGGGAGGGATTTGTTAAAGTAGGAAAAATTACAGCTAGATAGGAGAAATAAGTTATATTGTTCTATAGCATTGTAGTGTGATTATAGTCAACAACAATTTATTATATATTTTCAAATATCTAGAGAAGAGACTTTTAAATGTTCTCAACACAAAAGATAAATTTTTGAGGTGATGAATACGCTAATTATCTTTATTTGATCACTATGCATTGTGTGTATGGAAATTCACTATTCCATAACTATGCCCAATTATTATGTGTCAACTTTAAAAAATAAAATTAAAATAAGAGATTAACTTTGAGGCTCTAAAACTGAAGTGTTGAATGTTTAGTCCATTTCCTGGCATGGCATCACAACCCAAGAAGAATCTGAATCAAGGAATAATGTTGATGTGTCACATGAAAATAGAACAAAGCCATGCCACAATAGGCAGATTCTACTCCAAATACCCTGCAAATTCAGCTGAAATAAGGAATAGATTCCAAATCTCCCAGAAATTGCTCTGATAGGAAAATAGAGACATAAACACACCTGTTTCCAGAGGACTGAGCAGGAGTCTTTAGCAGCTGAGGACAAAAAAAGCCCTGGTACCATAAGGGAAAGAGGATATTTGGTTGTAAATGAAGGCATGTGGCCTTATGAGAAATTACAATGACCATTTTCAAAGGTGGGTGTTTTCCATGCTGTCATTGTCTCCTGCAAAGTCAGATGGAACCCCCACTCAAAGTTTGGTTAGATGTTAAAACTGATGACAACACGCATGTCATAAGTATGAAAAGTTTAGTACTTCATAATTGGGGTCTTTGGGGGAGAGTATGATAGTTCTCTCACTGTCCAAAATGGCAAGGGAAGGATACTGGTCTGGATTTTTATTGTGGTTAGGGGTGGGGCCAAGGTGAAGGTTCATATGCAAGAAGAGGCTTAAAGGTTCGAATCTCCCACCTGTGCCAAAGAAGGGAGCATCCGAGCTTTATTATCAGCCTACATGGCACACTATCCAGATGTGGGGAACAGGGGAAAGAGGGAGCATGCCTTAATAGCTGTCAGTAATAAGATATCAAGAAATAGAGGCAGATTCCTCATTACATATACTAATACCCACAATACTATTATCATCATTCAAATAATCCATATGTTAAAACTGCAAGCAGATATAAGAAAAAACAGACAAAATATATAATAATTCTACCCATCAAAGACAATCACAACTAATAACTTATCATTCTTATGTACTATTGATACATATAATTCTGTAACAGCATATGATGTAGTATCTGCATGATTCTGAATCAGCATATGATTCTGTATCACATGATTCTGTATGCAAAAAACTTTGTTGCATATTGGATTAATTTTAGAACAATTAAAGTATTATTGATATTTGTGTCCTACCTCTAGAAAGTCTTGTTGAGGCCAGGTGCAGTGGCTCAAGCCTGTAATCCCAGCACTTTGGGAGGTCAAAATAGTTGGATCACCTGAGGTCAGGAGTTGGAGACCAGCCTGACCAACATGGTGAAACCCTGTCACTATTAAAAATACAAAAATTAGCCGGGTGTGGTGGCACATGCCTGTAATCCAAGCTAGTTGGGAGGCTGAGGCAGGAGAATCACTGCAACCTGGGAGGTGGTGGTTGCAGTGAGCTGAGATCGCACCAATGCACTCCAGCCTAGGCAACAAGAGTGAAACTCTATCTCAAAAAAAATAAAATCTTATTGAATTGGTCTGGATTGTTATCTAAGCAATGAGAATTTTATAATCTCCCCAGTTGACTATAACATATAGCGAAGTTTAAAAATCCCTGTTTCAGATGGTGTGTGTGTAGGTGGGAGGTGTAATAAATGTGGGGCCAAACTCTTAATATAGTTAATTTGATAAGTAGTGCTCATTTTGTCTGTATAGAACATCTTTCCATGCCCACAAATGCACATCTCCCTCATAATTGTGATGCCTCTCAATTACTTTACTATATGGATATACACTACAATTTCTATCCTAGTAGGCCACTGTTTTGAGATATTTACATTATATCCAATTTATTAAACTTGTAAAAATCCTTATGAATATTTTTATATGTACCTTCTTGTAAACTTGTCTGATTCCTTGTGAAAATATTCTAGAAATATAATTCCTGGCTTACAGAGTATGCATGTGTTCAAGGCTCTTGTTGCATCATCCAGCCAGAAGTAAATGAGATTGCCCATTTTCCTATAACTTCACCATTCTGGATATTATCTATTTTTCTCAAATATTTGCCTGAAGGTAGAAAAAAATATATAATTTGTGTATTTTATCAAGCTTTTACATTATGTCTTTGTCTTTGGTATCATGCTAAGAGAGGTATTTTCTGCCCATAGTTTATGTAAATAGTTTGCCATGTTTTGAAAGTTTTGTTTTCCTTGTATTTTATATTTAATATATCTATATTTTAGAGCAGGTATTAGAAACAAATCCCTAACTTTATTTCTCTCTGATGGCAAATCAGTTTTCCAAAATCAGTTACTTAATTGTCCTCAATTTACCAGACTCAGAAAACTCATCTCCAAAGTGAGGAAATAATGGCGCCTACCTCACACAATTTCAGAGTGGACTAAATAGTTAAAGTATATTAAGCACTTACAATAGTACATGGCACACAATCAATATTTAGCATATTATTGCTATTATTATGATCATAATGATTATGGATCATATTTATTATATAACTTCAGTCTATTTCTTGATTTTGTGTTCTATGGCACTGGACACCTTGTTTAACCTTGTCTCAGTTTCTCATTGTTTCAGTGGGTATATTTTGACATGCGTATCTTTAATAATTAGAAATTCCTTTTGAGAAGTGTCTGTTCATGTCCTTTGCCCACTTTTTGATGGGGTTGTTTGTTTTTTTCTTGTAAATTTGTTTGAGTTCATTGTAGATTCTGGATATTAGCCAAAAAACACATGTAAAAATGCTCATCATCACTGGCCATCAGAGAAATGCAAATCAAAACCACTATGAGATATCATCTCACACCAGTTAGAATGGCAATCATTAAAAAGTCAGGAAACAACAGGTGCTGGAGAGGATGTGGAGAAATAGGAACACTTTTACACTGTTGGTGGGACTGTAAACTAGTTCAACCATTGTGGAAGTCAGTGTGGCGATTCCTCAGGGATCTAGAACTAGAAATACCATTTGACCCAGCCATCCCATTACTGGGTATATACACAAATGACTATAAATCGTGCTGCTATAAAGACACATGCACACATATGTTTATTGTGGCATTATTCACAATAGCAAAGACTTGGAACCAACCCAAATGTCCAACAATGATAGACTGGATTAAGAAAATGTGGCACATATACACCATGGAATACTATGCAGCCATAAAAAATGATGAGTTCATGTCCTTTGTAGGGACATGGATGAAACTGGAAACCATCATTCTCAGTAAACTATCGCAAGAACAAAAAACCAAACACCGCATATTCTCACTCATAGGTGGGAATTGAACAATGAGATCACATGGACACAGGAAGGGGAATATCACACTCTGGGGACTGTGGTGGGGTGGGGGGAGGGGGGAGGGATAGCACTGGGAGATATACCTAATGCTAGATGACGAGTTAGTGGGTGCAGCGCACCAGCATGGCACATGTATACATATGTAACTAACCTGCACAATGTGCACATGTACCCTAAAACTTAAAGTATAATAAAAAAAAAAAGAAATTCCTTATTTTGTCAAAATTATTCTGACATCTCACGTATTTATTTTATTGGAGAAACATAAACTCAATATTTTCAAATTCAAGAGAAAAAGTCATTCTGATTTTATTTGTGATTGGGTTAAATATATGAGTTAATTAGCCCAAGATTCAAAGTGTTTACAATTGTTTATTCTTTCTACTTACTGGCATGGTGTGCATTTACCAATTGTCAAGTCTCCTTTTATGTCCTCTGTAAATTCATGGAGTTTTCTTCAGAGAGGTCTTGCATATTCTTGCTCAGTTTATTGCTAGAAATTTTACATTTTTATTGGGTTGTCAAAGCATTAGTTTTTTCTCATTTTCTCAGTGCTTGTATTTAGTATACATGGGAGATAGTTTTGTATACTTATTTGTAAGTGACTTACTTCATTGAACTCCCTGTGTTGTTATAATTCAAGGACACTGTAACTCAAGGCTTCTAATTTTATCAAGAATGCTGTGTGTTGCAGCTAAATCTTCATTGAAAATTAGAATGGGATTGAGAGGGAATGACTGGGTGGAGAAACAAACACTTCTCCTGTTTCACCTTTAGTATTAAAATGTATGCCATCACTTTTATTTGTAGCATGATACTCCAACTTTGACAGAGCCATATATTGAAGTTACTAATTATGAAAGGTTTTAGGTGATAGCCTAGGGCCTCAGTGACTAGCAAAATATATTAAATAGGGCCTCAAATCACAAAATTAATAACTGTCATCCTTTTCCCATAGTAGCTATAGATAAATTAATCCCTAAACTTTATTTTTACCAGTATATCTAAGAAGTAAGGAAGTTATTCTCAATGTGTAGTCCAGTGGATGCTTAAGGGACCCAAGTTATTTTTAGGGAATCTGTAATATCAAACTTAATATTTAAAAAAAGAGTTTATTTGATATTAGCAAAGATAGTAAAAAACTAATAGTGGGTAAAACTGCTAGTGCCTTAGCATAAATCCAGGCAGTGGTACCAAATCATCATTGTATTCTTTACCATCATGCACTTGCAGATAAAAAAAGAAAAAAGAGGATAGTTTTGCCTAAGAATGCTCCAATGAAGTACTAAAATTGCTAATGTTGTTAAATCTCAATCCTTGAGTATATATCTATTCTCAATATATATATATACACATTCTCAATATATCTCAATATACCTCAATATATAGATATCTATATATTCTCAATATATAGATATATACCTTGAGTATATATCTAATCTCAATCCTTGAGTATATATCTATTCTGTTTTACAAAATGAAAAACACACATAAAGCATTCTGTAGGTTAATATGTTGGTTAACTCAAGAAAAAGCATTTGTGTGGTTATCTGATTAATAAGATGAACTAGTCACTTTTTTCATAAAGCACCTTTTTTATTTGAAAGAATAACTCCCAGTCTAATGGTTAAGACTTTGGTATCTGGCAGATATTTTCTGGAAATTGAACTTAGTGAGCCTGTCACTTCAAGGAAAATAACTGACAATATTTATTACCAGGGATGAAAACTGAGGCTTTAATTGGAAATTTAAATCATAGAAAGCTTGAAGCTGCCACTATGACCTTGATAATTTCCCAGTATTTAAAGGCTCTCTGATGAGATTGGTGATAACAAATGTGATTTTTTTTTACAATTGCATAAGAAAGATATCTACATTTGGAATATCTACATAGCATAAGGAATCAATTTTCCAAATGGCAAATTCATAATATTATAACATTATATATGGGCAAAAGATCCATTTGAAATGTATAGCCAATGAAAGGATTTTAATGTAACAGAGCACTAAAATTCACTGATATAGTTTCAGATGTCACAATGCAGCTAATCTTTATGAAACCACTGCTTGTCAAAGAAGAGTAGCCACAAATATCTGAAAAGTCTGTTAAAATATTCCTCTGTTTTTCAATGGCATATTACCTGTGTTAGACTAGATTTCCTTTCATATACCTCAATCAAAGCAACATAGTCCAATAAGTTGAATGCATAAACAGCTCTGGGAATCCAGCTTTCTTCGTTCAAGTCAGCCTTTAAAGAGATTTGCAAAAACATAAAACAATGCCACTTTACTTACTAAAAGTAAATTTTTGTTGGGGAAAGTAGAGTTACTTTCATAAAAATATAATTTTTATATTAAGGTAAATGGGTTTGCTATAATTTTAAAGTTTATTAATATTTTAAATTTTCTCAATTATTTATAATTTGTTAAATAGCAATAGCTATAACTTCATAACATAAGTTATTTGGGGCTTGGAGTTCTTAACAGTTTTTAAGAGTATAAGTTGGTTTGAGATGAAAAATTTGAGAAGAACTGGTATAAGAAAAAACTAAGAACTATCTAGCATCATGGTAGACTTGGCATAAAACATAATAAATAACTTTGATTCAACTTTTTATGAGTATAAGAATCTTAATGCCCATTCAGAAATTGAGATTCCATTAATTCAAAGACAGTTGTAGTGTATCCGAGATGAGTTTTCTGATGAATTTTTGATTCATCATCCTTTTGGGAGTCCCCTGATTTCCATTAGTACTGGAAGAAACTATTTGTCTTGAGTACAATGTGATAAATATGGGTAAAGAGAGCCTGAGGAATGTGTAATATAGGGAGCCTTAGGATCTATTTGCATTTTTAATACTTCTAATCATTGGTGGTGTTTATAAGAATACACTATTTAAAATAATGTTTCTTGAGATATGAGTCACGCCGCAAGAAACTTAGAAGGTTAAGGAGGGCTTTCAATCATGGATTCCCATAAATATCTACAGAGAGAACAGAGCACAAGTTCTCTGACTGAGAAAACATGAAATAATATTGTGTGCAGAGCCAGAGACCACAAGAAAATGGCTTTTCCCCTGTGACTTAAAAAGAGGTAAACTTTATTACTAAGAAGATATTGGTCTGAGATAGCCTTAGGCATGCTCCATATTTAAATCTTGCTTGTGTCACAATTTTCTTCTTTTATTCACTCCCCTTACAGTATCCATTTCTATTTTTACAAACATGTCTGCGTCTCTCATCCTATAATACTATCCATTTACCTGGTATACACTTATGACACTGTGTATGCTTCCTTATTTATCTGTTTTGAGGCTCTTGCAAGAGTTGTCTACTCAAGTTGCATCTAGTTTTTACTATATGTTCATTCTTTAACATATTTCAACCTGGCTTCTACCCATACATTTTCACTGAAAATATAATAGTAAAGTTTATTCGTTATTTCCATGTGGTAGGTCCTCTTCTAAATCTATCTTATAGTGATATTTTACACAGTTGACTACTCCATTCTTGAAATACTTTCCTTATCTGGCTTCTATATCAGTATGGTTTGCTGGATCTTTTCAAATGTGTTTGGCTATTCCTGTAAGTCTTTAATGATTCTCTTTTATTACCCTTTTGTTCCTCTGTGAAGTAAGTCATCACTTGTCAATGGCTGAATTCTTGTTTTCCTCCCACAGATCTGCTAATTTCTTAGTCTTCTTTAACTCAGAATTCCACTGGTCAAGGCTCTGTCTTTCTCTCCACACCCAGTACCTGAGCAAGTCTTTTAATTTCTACTACACACTATGCATGAAATCTCCAGAACTTTGCTGCCACTGCACTAGTATAATACATAACTTTGTTTGTTTGTCTGTCTTTACTAATTTACTAATTTCTAGGTTTTAACTCCTACCCACATCTAATTTATTTTTCACAGAGCAGCCAAAAAATAAATCATTTGAAAATGCAAATATTATTAATTCACTTTCCTCATTACAACTTTTCAATAGACTCCTGTTACACTTATAATAAAATCTAACTTCTTGGTCTGTCTGAATGGGGATTTATAAATTTTACTAATTTCTTTAAAGAACAATATTTGGTAGTTTCTTTTGCTGTGCAGAAGCTCTTTAGTTTAATTAGATCCCATTTGTCAATTTTAGCTTCTGTTGCCATTGCTTTTGGTGTTTTAGACATGAAGTGTTTAGGCATGGGTGTTTTGCCCATGCCTATGTCCTGAATGGTATTGCCTAGGTTTTCTCCTAGGGTTTTTATGGTTTTAGGTCTAACATGTAAGTCTTTAATCCATCTTGAATTAATTTTTGTATAAGGTGTAAGGAAGGGATCCAGTTTCAGCTTTCTACATATGGCTAGCCAGTTTTCCCAGCACCATTTATTAAATAGTGAATCCTTTCCCCATTGCTTGTTTTTGTCAGGTTTGTCAAAGATCAGATGGTTGTAGATATGCGGCATTATTTCTGAGGGCTCTGTTCTGTTCCATTGATCTATATCTCTGTTTTGGTACCAGTATCATGCTGTTTTGGTTACTGTAGCCTTGTAGTATAGTTTGAAGTCAGGTAGCGTGATGCCTCTGGCTTTGTTCTTTTGGCTCAGGATTGACTTGGTGATGCGGGCTCTTTTTTGGTTCCATATGAACTTTAAAGTAGTTTTTTCCAATTCTGTGAAGAAAGTCATTTGTAGCTTGATGGGGATGGCATTGAATCTATAAATTACCTTGGGCAGTATGGCCATTTTCACGATATTGAGTGAACAGGCAACCTACAAAATGGGAGAAAATTTTCGCAACCTACTCATCTGACAAAGGGCTAATATCCAGAATCTACAATGAACTCAAACAAATTTACAAGAAAAAAACAAACAACCCCATCAAAAAGTGGGTGAAGGATATGAACAGACACTTCTCAAAAGAAGACATTTATGCAGCCAAAAAAACACATGAAAAAATGCTCAGCATCACTGGCCATCAGAGAAATGCAAATCAAAACCACAATGAGATACCATCTCACACCAGTTAGAATGGTGATCATTCAAAAGTCAGGAAACAACAGGTGCTGAGAGGATGTGGAGAACTAGGAACACTTTTACACTGTTGGTGGGACTGTAAACTAGTTCAACCATTGTGGAAGACAGTGTGGCAATTCCTCAGGGATCTAGAACTAGAAATACCATTTGACCCAGCCATCCCATTACTGGGTATATACCCAAAGGATTATAAATCATGCTGCTATAAAGACTCATGCACATGTATGTTTATTGCAGCACTATTCACAATAGGAAAGACTTGGAACCAACCCAAATGGCCAAAAACGATAGACTGGATTAAGAAAATGTGGCACATATACACCATGGAATACTATGCAGCCATAAAAAATGAAGAGTTAGTGTCCTTTGTAGGGACATGGATGAAACTGGAAACCATCATTATCAGTAAACTATCATAAGGACAGAAAACCAAACATCGCATGTTCTCACTCATCGGTGGGAATTGAACAACGAGAACACATGGACACAGGAAGGGGAACATCACACTCTGGGGACTGTTGTGGGGTGGGGGGAGGGGGGAGGGATAGCATTAGGAGATATACCTAATGCTAAATGACGAGTTAATGGGTGCAGCACACCAACATGGCACATGTATACATATGTAACAAACCGGCACATCATGCACATGTACCCTAAAACTTAAAGTATAATAATAATGAAATAAAAATTTAAAAAAGAACAATATTTGGCTTAAATGATTCTGCTGTTTCTCTATTCTCAATTCTATTGACTGCTGCATTTGTTTTTATTATTTATTTCTTCATGTCTTGAATCTAATTTGCATTTCTTTTTCTACTTTCTTAAAGTAGAAGTTTAGATAATTAATTAGAGACTTTTTTATTGTAAGCCTTTAATTTCATAATTACCCTCTACACAGTGTTTAAGTTGCAGCCTACAAATTTTAGTAGGTTGTATTGTATTTTCACTTAATAAAAAATATTTTCTAGCCTTGCTTATGATGTTCTATTTGACCCAGGGAATACACAGAAGTACGTTGTTTAATTTCTAAACATTTAGGGATTTTCAAGATATCTTTCTGCTATTGATGTTTAGTTTAATTCCAGTATGGTTAGAGTACATACTTTGCATCTCAATTCTTCTAAATGTGTTATAGTTTGTTTTACAGCTCAAAATATTGTCTGGTTAACATGTAGCTTACATACAAGTGGAGAGACTGTATCTTCTACTGTTGCTGAGTAGAGTGTTCCATAAATGTCAGTTGAATTTTCTAATAAATATAATGATTTTTTGCCTACTTATTTAATCAGTTATTAAGAAAGAAGTGTTTACATTTCCAAATACAATTATGGATTTATCTATTTCTTCTCTCTGTTCTCTTTTATATGTTTTTTGCCTTATATATTTCAAAGCTATGCTCTTAGGTGCATTACCATTTAGGATTATTGTGTCTCCTTAGTGAATTGACCCATTTATCGTTACATAATGTCCTTTCTATTCTGCTAATAGTCTTTTTTGTGAAGTCCCCTTTATTATTATATAATGTCCTTTTTATTCTGCTAATAGTCTTTTTTGTGAAGTCTATTTTTTCTGATATCGATATAGCCACTAGATTTTTTTTTATTAATGTTTACATGGGATTTTTTAAAAATGATTTTTTTTCCAATTGAATTTAAAGTAGCCTACTTGTAGATAGTATCTACTTGGATCTCTGTCTTTTATTTGTGTTTAGGCCATTTATATTTAATGTAGTTATTGATATGGTTTTATTAAAATGTCCTAACTGTTTTCTGTTTTATGGTTTCTTTTTCCCATCTTTCTTTCTTCTTTTGGATTGATGAATTATCATTTTATTTTTCTACTAATGACTTGTTATTTATACATTTTATTAAAAACAGCTCTTTCCCTAGGGTTTACAATATATATATTTAGTAAATTGAAGGTAGACCAGTAAACTATCACACAACAATAGAAAATTAATGTTTCACATTGTACTGTAAAGATCTTACACAATACATTCCCAATTCCTTTTCTACTCACAATATTGTTGTTATATTCATTGCTAATACTTTTGTTTTAGACAGTAATAATCCACAGCAATTAAAATTAGCAACTGAGTTTTATTATACTTTAAGTTCTGGGGTACGTGTGCAGAACGTGCAGGTTTGTTACATAGGTATACACGTGCCATGGTGGTTTGCTGCACCCATCAACCTGTCATCAACTTTAGGTATTTCTCCTAATGCTATCCCTCCCCTAGCTCCCTCACCCCCAACAGGCCCCTGTGTGTGATGTTCCCCTCCCTGTGTCCATGTGTTCTCATTGTTCAACTCCAACTTATGAGTGAGAACATGCGGTGTTTAGTTTTCTGTTTTTGTGTTAAGAAACTGAATTTTATATTTACATTAAGCTATGACCCGTCCAATGCCCCTCATTTATTTGAGTTGATGAATATTGGGCCCTAATATCTGTATTAGTTTTCTATTGCTGTGTGACAGGTAATCAGAAATTTGTGACTTAAAACTGCACTCTTTTTTTGTGGTGGGGGAACTAGTTACAGGTGATGATTTTACAATCTTTTGAATGTACTGAATGCCACTACGTTATATAATTTAAAATAGTTAATTTTATGTTACAAGAATACCTCAAGAAAATACCATCTATTGGAGCTATTGGGGCTATAACTGAGTTTTTTATTCTGTTACGAACTGATTAGAGTCTGTTAAGCTGGAGATGATAAAAATGAATATGAAAACAAAACAAAAACCACCCATTTGTTATCTCATATTTCCTGTGAATAGAAGTCCAAGTACAGTATGGCTCAGTTCCCTGTTCAGAATCATGAAGCTAGAATCAAGTTGTTGGCCTGGATTGCAATTTTATCTGAGACTCTGGGTTCCATTTCATACTCATTTGGTTTGTTAAAGGAATGCAATTTTTTATGATTGTAAGACTAAGGTTCTCACTTTCTTGCTGTCTGTTAACTGGGGGCCATTCTCAGAGCATAAAAACACCTGTTATTTCCTGCACTAACGTGAAAACTTAAATGGCAGTTTCCTCCTTCAAGGCCGATGTGAAAATCTGTTTTACTTCAGGATATTGGGGCCATCTTGGGATTCTGCATACCACTCTATGTTTACCCACAGTGCACTAAAGCTTTCACATTTCTCTAGTACTATCTTGTGCTTGAGCCTGGGATTTATTTGGCAGAGTCTCCTTTCAGTGTCTGTTCCATCTATAGCTTCAAGTCTTTCCCTTCATTTGTCCTTCTTCAGAGTATGTCTCTCTTAATTTTCTACACCTTCTTCCAGCAGTGAATTGCTATTATTTATAGCTCAAAACTTACTAACCTGCTAGCAGAGGGGAGGGGAGTGATTCTCTATTGTTGGGGCTCAGCCTCTAACTTAGGTAAGTGCTGTGTCCCTGGGTTCTGGATTTGGTGCCTTTTCAGTGCCCTTGTCCATACCTCTAATTGTCTAGGCCATAAATGTATTTCCGGCACTTCTCTAAGAATAGAATATTTTTTCTTTTCTTTTTCCCCAGCTGGAATGGGTCTTTACCCTTGTCCTAAAAGTGATATGATTGGTTTCCCTAACCCTACTAGGTTAAAGCTTTGGTTTCATAGGGAAGATAGGGGCCTAGATGCTGCTGTACGTCTTTCCCAGGCAAGCTTCAGAGAGGAGTTTTTCTGAGGGTTTTTGTTTCACTTTTCATCATGAGCTCACAGTGAGGCCTGTGGGGAAGAACCTGTGAATCTCTCCAAATTCCCTTTGTATGTGTGGCTTCTAATACTTCTATATGCTCACATTCTCCTATGCTCAACATTTAGCAATTTATTAAAAATTTTAACTGAGTTCTTACCTGCCTGCCTGGTGTTCTTTGTCTACTGTAAGCAAACAAGAGCTAGCATCATGTCTCTCCTTGGAGGTGTCTGCCTTTCCTTAGATATTGGCTTTGTTGGTTGCCCTACAACCACAGGTCGCTGATCAATTCAAGAAAAGTTGTGATTTTGTAGATTTTCTAGATCGTACTATATTGTATTCAGGATAGAAAAACTTCTCTTCTTCGCCTTTCACACCCTGAAGGAAGCCCAATTAACTTCTTGTTTTCATTATTGTTATGAATCTTCCTTTGAACATTACAATCCCTATAAGGAGAGTGGGGATACCTTTTTTATTTACTAAGCCTGACCCTTATTTGGTATCATATTTGTTGAGTAAAGCAATGAAGAAATGAACAAATAAAACAAGTAAATGAATGAGCTGTATAGAGTTGTGTGGAGTTGCATAGTAGGAACTTAAAAGTACAGCAAATATGAGAGCTTGTAGTAATTCAGTAGAATAGTCATGTCAGATATAGAACCATGCCATTTACAAGATTCATGTACGAAAACAATTAAAAAAAAAAAAAGAACTAGCTCCTAAAAAATGGAGCTTGAAAGATCAAGAGAAAGACCAGGCAACTGCTTGTCGAACAGACTGGTAAAGAGAATTGAATCCTCCTTATGGGACTCAATACCTTGTGAGGAAGGTGAAAGAGAAAATTCATACCCTAGATGAAGAAAGGTGGTGGGATGGTTAGCTATTTATATGCTTTCATTAATTGTAGATTATACCTTTGAGAGGTGACAACGTGCCAGCAGCCCTCGCTCTCGGTGCCTCCTCGGCCTCGGCGTCCGCTCTGGCCGCGCTTGAGGAGCCCTTCAGCCTGCCGCTGCACTGTGGGGGCTCCTCTCTGGGGCTGGTCGAGGTCGGAGCCGGCTCCCTCTGCTCGCGGGGAGGTGTGGAGGGAGAGGCGCGCGGCGCTTGCAGGCCGGCGCGGGTTCCGGATGGGCGCGGGTTCCTCAGGCCCCGCCCTCTGGCCGGCAGGCCACGCCTGCTGGACTTGATCAGGGGAGGAGCTCCCTCTGGGCTGCCAGAGTGCCTTGGCTAGGTGCTGCAAAGCCCCTCGTGAGTCCCATTAAGAGGTGAAGCCAGCTGGGCTTCTAGGTCGGGTGGGGACTTGGAGAACTTTTCTGTCTAGCTAAAGGTTTGTAAACGCACCAATCAACACTCTCTGTCTAGCTAAAGGTTTGTAAACACACCAATCAGCGCTCTGTGTCTAACTAATCTGGTGAGGACTTGGATAACTTTTGTGTCTAGCTAAAGGATTGTAAACGCACCAGTCAGCACTCTGTCAAAACAGACCAATAAGCTGTCTATAAAACGGACCCATTAGCTGTCTGTAAAATGGACCAATCAGCAGAATGTGGGTAGGGCCAGATATGGGAATAAAAGCAGGCCACCCAAGCCAGCAGTGGCAACCTGCTGGGGTCCCTTTCTACACTGTGGAAGCTTTGTTCTCTCGCTCTTCGCAATAAATCTTGCTGCTGCTCACTCTTTGGGTCCGTGCTGACTTTAAGAGCTGTAACACTCACCATGAGGGTCCACAGCTTCACTCCTGAAGTCAGCGAGACCACGAACCCACCAGAAGGAAGAAACTCTGGACACATCTGTACATCTGAAGGAACAAACTCTGGACACACCGTCTTTAAGAACTGTAACACTCACCGCGAGGGTCCACGGCTTCATTCTTGAAGTCAGCGAGACCAAGAACCCACCAATTCCTGACACACCTTTGCTAGAGGATCAGCATAGTGTTTGCTGTGGCAAGCTAACCAGATACACTTTCAAGTCCAAGATACCCAGTCCCTAGCTGCCAGCATTGTTGGCTGCTGACACCTCATAATTGTGCAAAAAGAAGTTGCTTTTCTCAAGATTTTGCTTCACACTCCCCAACAGCGGCACCAATGAAGAACACAAAGGCAAAGCCCACATGCATTTCAGCTTCAGAGCTGTCTCTGAGATTGGATGAGGTCTCTGTTGCATCCCAGTTAAACTTCTGACTAATGCTGCTTCCTTTACTCTCACAGGTGTTTCTTAGAGCCTTCCCCAGTATACTTCACACATACATAGTTCTGAGGTAGTTCCTTAGAGAAGTCAATCTGCAGCAAATAAAAGAAATTATTTTCAAATTCTGATAATTTGTAAATTTAGGGTTACTGATATATTATTTGTCATTAGCTTTTCTGCTCGTTGGTTCCAGAAGAAACCATGGTGTGATAGACTGAATGATGACTCCCTCTCCCACAGCAATGTCCATGTCTCAATCCTCAAAACCTGGGAATATGTTACTTTACATGGTCAAGGAAATTTTGCAGATGTAATTAATTTGAGGATTTTGTGATGGAGAGATTATCCGGAATTATCCAGGTTGGCCTGGATAATCACAAGGGTCCTTTTAAGAGTGGGACAGGATTAGAATCAGACAGAAGATGAAGTGACGACAGAAGCAAAGGAACAGAAAGAAAGATTAGAGCATGCTACACTACTGCTTTAAAGATGAAGGAAGGGGACATAAGCTGAGGAATGCTGGCATTCTCTAGAATCTAGAAAATGCAAGGAAATGGATTGCCTCCTAAGGCCTCCAGAAGGAATGCAGCCCTGCCACTCTTTTTTAGACTTTGACCTCCATATATATGAAATAAAACTTTGCTTTCCTATAAGCCACTCAATTTGTGGTAACTTGTTACAACTTCAATGTGAAATGAGCATGAACATACATAGTAATCATTTGGAACAGCAGGGACAGAAGAGTCTAAGTTTGTTCAAAAGATGACCAAATGTTTACAGAGATGTAACCAAAGGCATAAGATTATGAATGTCATTTCTCTTGTATATTTTCTCGATATTTATAATCTGGTTATATTATTTTATAATATAAAATGAGTTTATAATTAAAAGCATTACCATTTATGTGTGCTTCATCTATTACTCTTTAAATGCAGTGGGCAATTCAATTCTTTTTAGCACAAATACACAAAATTTAACAGGGTCAACGTGGATGCTGGTTACTTATCCATCACTGTGCTACCTCTACTACCATTTAATAATTTGACTCATTTCATCCCTTTGGTGCTTGAACAATTGGCTTCATATTCTGGCTAGTGACAATATTAAATTGCCTTCTATGACCTTTGTTCTTGACTTTGTATTCAACCTTGATTTCAGCTTCCCTATCCCCAAAGAAAGGAGACAAGAGTGCCCTGTATAAACCACAGTCTTTTCAACAGAAATGCTCACATAAAATTTAGAATCAACATTTTGTGTATGAATTTTTCTCTCCAAAATGCATAATTTTATTCTTTCTGAAATTTAGTTTATTTACCTAAATAATATGCTGAAAATCAATTACCACAATAATGTCAAATTTACACTAAATGAAAAGTTAGTATAAATATATGTGACAAGATAGTCACATTAGAAACTAACTTTCAAAAAATGCTTTGTACAGATGATATGCCAAGAATTTCTCAAGGAACCATGATTATAATTAGGTCATTTTACATTATTTTCTATACATTTAGATAATTTAATTTATGCTCTTATAATGTTACATTTCTTAGTAATCCAAAAATTGTTCAGCTGAAATATTACAATGATAATACCCATGAATGTGATGCATTCTCCCTTTTAAGAATTACCTTCCTAATTTTAGAGGCCATATGTCTATTTATTATTTAATAAATCTCATCATATCCTAGCAATATTTCTAGATTAAAATTTCTAGAATTGATCATCCCATGATTCAGATTTAGGTTCAATAGTTAGTATCTTAGTGATCATTACATATTAGGATTTTTTACATGCATTAGCTTAAAAAGTATCTTATTGTAGTAGACATTTTGTAAATCTTCATCATTTGACATGAGTCTGATCTATGAACAGCTGCTAGAAAAAGAGCTAAAAAAATAAATTCTATAGACATTAAATTACAATAATTATCAATGTTCAGATTTTTAGATTACATTACTTGAGTTTTTAAATACAGGGACGAGGTCTCGGGCGTACCCTGATGTAACTGTTCATTAAGACAACATGAAACTTCTAGGATAAGTATACAGAGAGAGTGGAAGGAATAAGTTTATGTTTTACCCTCTCCCCCTTTAATTTCCCCCCTTTATAAGCCTATGTGCAGTTTCCAAACTCCTGATAGAGTTCATCTTAGAACGATGAGATGATTTCATTAACACGGTGCTTTGATGAACTAAGCTCATCAACTATAAACATATAAAATGTGGTGATAGGCTCATACTAAAAGGCCTTTGGTTCTAAGGAAATATAATCTACATTATATTATACTGGAGAAATATAATCTACATTATTTGCAAAACCTTCCTACAAGCCCTGAGTGAGCATCTGGTTTTAACTGAAATAGAAACAATTTCCCTCAGAATTGCTAGTGTTCCCTCCTGTAGACAGGTTCTCAGCGAGAGAATCTCAAAGCACCTTTTTGTAGTTACTTACCTGTAACAGCGACTCTGACTCATTCCTCATTTTAAACTGTTTCCATCTACTTCTTTTTGTCTCTCTAAGCTTCTGTTGGGTGTTTTGTCCATTTTTCTAACATATACTCTTACCACTACTATTGCTTTGCCTTTAATCACTCCTATTCCCTAAACTTCCCTTAGTCCCTATGAACAAAGAACACCCATCACTTTTTTCCTCCTTTTGTTTTCCCTTTCCTTTTTTTTCTTTTTCTTTTCTTTTTTTTTTTTTTCCTTTGGTTTAGAAATAAAGTTTAAGAGCTAATGAAACTATTCAACTGAATGGATCTGAGTTTCAGCAATTATAAGCTCTTTAAAAAGAAATAAATATTTATTTGGGGTTAACCTTGTTAATGAATGGATTCTCCCTTTACCGAGGGCACATCAAGACAAGCTTAACATTTCCAGGGCTTAGTCACTTAAAAAAATTGAAACGATGAAGACATTCTAAGGAAATGCTGGACCTTCAAATGTATCTTACACTGAAGCAAGCTTTTATGGCCTATTTTAAGAACTTAGTACTAGCTCTCTTGTTTAACGAGCAGTTTAATTTAAAGCTTAAAATTAAGTATTCCAATGGAGTCGTAAATAATGCAGTTTATAATATTCTTATCAAGCACATAAAGATACATTTGTCTTCCATTAACAACATACTTTTAAAGTAGCTTGACCTCTTCAGATGTATAAGAGCACTCAATTAGTGCAATTTGTCACAGATCTTTTACATGTTAATAAGATGTAACTAATTGTTTTGTCTAATTAACTTTTCAGACACTGGCAGCTCTTGTTCTTTTAATACAAAGCAAGAGTGCCTTATTTGCAATTCTAATATTTGATGCAGAATTCTGACCATAAACTCAAGTCTACCATCCTAAAAAAAAGTTATATGGCAATTAAGAATTCAGGAAAGAAATATTATATATTTTTAGGATATTAATGTTTTTATGTAAAGTGCTACTCCAAACCACAAGAGTGAAATAAATTCAGATTGGAAAATAAATGAGAAAACATACATAATCCTCCCAAAGATATATTAATATATAAGATTTTCTGTAAATGATTTTATATTTGCTCATTAATTCATTTAGTTGTTCTCTCATCTTCTATTCATTCATTCATTCTTGTAGTGTCAAGTCTCTTCAAGATAGTCTGTTAGTATCTAAAGATTTGAGGATAACCAAGTAAAAACACTGTCCTTAACCAAATGTATGTTTCTTGGTCATGAAATTAACAGTGAAATTAACTAAATCTTAGAATAGATGCATAGGATCTATGTATACTTTTTCTCCTAGTGAAGTGTAGACCAGAGTGACATATTTGTGGCACATTTGTTCAACATGTAACAATATATTAACTCTATTCTTTATCTTATTACACTGTAAAAGTAACATATTTTAATTACATGTATTTGAAAAATATAAATATTTTATTGTATGGTATTATTAAATAATTTTTAAATGTGATTTAAATAAAATATTTCTGGCCGGGCACAGTGGCTCATGTCTGTAATCCCACCACTTTGGGAGGCCGAGGTTGGTGGATCACTTGAGGTCAGCAGTTCATGACCAGCCTGGCCAAATGGTGAAACCCCGTCTATACTAAAAATACAAAAATGAGCCAGGTGTGGTGCTGCATGATTGTAATCCCAGCTACTTGGGAGGCTGAGGTGGGAGGATTGCTTGAACCCAGGAAGCGGAGGTTGCAGTGAGCTGAGATTGTGCCATTGCACTCCCACCTGGGTGACAGAACAAGACTATGTCTCAAAAAAAATGAAAATAAAAATAATAAAATTATATATTTTGTTATATTTTAATTTTTAAATATAAAATTATATAAATGTACATATATATTACTAATAGGCACCATAATTTATTTAGCATTAACTCAAACTAATTACCTGTGGGTCTTTTTACAAATTCTGAGTTTATAATTTTGGTAGAATCTCTGCAGAAAATTGTGATGAACAGTCAAGGCTGATAAATGTTTTCCCATTATAATACATTTAGTTATTCCCAAATTCCAAGTTGTGTAACAAATAATGCAATATTTTGGATTCTTCATTGCTATGTATTTTCTTAGGGAACCCATTAGATTCAAAATCCCTGGACCAAAGGCCAAATCTAAAAGTTTTGTAAAGTTTCTGATGCATATAGTCAAATTGCTTTCTAGAAAATTCTCAGAAATCTGATATTTTATATGAAAACAACTGTCTTCCCTAGGATGAATTAATTATTTTTTAGATTTATGTTTGATTTAAAAAATGGAATCTCTATATTTTGAGGTTTTTGTTGTTGCTGTTGTTTTCTTTTTTGAGACAGAATCTTGCTCTGTTGCCCAGGCTGGAGTGCAGTTGCACAATCTCGGCTCACTGCAACTTCCGCCTCCAGGGTTCAAGAAATTGTCCTCCCTCAGCCTCCCTAGTAGCTGGGATTACAGGCGTCCACTACCACACCCAGCTAATTTTTGTATTTTTAGTAGAAACAGCATTTCTCCATGTTGACCAGGCTGGTCTTGAACTCCTGGCCTCAAGTGATCCACCTGGCTCGGACTCCCAAAGTGCTGAAGTTTAGGTGTAAGCCACTGCACTGGCCTTATATTTTGTATTTTTAATGATGTTTCTCCTATATGTATTTAAGAATTGTGTACATAATAATATAAAACGTTTATCACATTAGTAGCAAAGTTTTTTCTTCCTTTTTCATTTTTATTATAATATAATGAAATACTAGGTAAAAGAACATGCTCTGGAGTCAGACCAGCTGGGTTTTAATCCTGACTCTCCCCTTATTGTCTATGTTACCCTCTGTAAATATCTTAAACACTGTTTCTTAGTTTCTTTATCCATAACAGGGGGACAATAATAGCACCTATTTCACCAAGTAATTATAAAAATTAAATATGTTAATAAATGCAAAAGTTTTAGAAAATCTCCCATTTCTTGTTGGTTGCCTTTCTGCAGGAACTGTAATGTTAGATTAGATTACCATTCTCTGTTCTTCAATATCCAAACCAACTGTTTCATTGAAATCAATTTCAATCTTCTCCCACTGCATTATTGGTAAGTCTTTTATGTTTAAGTTTATGAATCAAATCATTGATTAAATTTTCCATAAATTTCAGATATGGCCTTCCCCACTAGGATAGTTTGTATTTTTAAGCTTTTTTATTTTTTAACATCAGTTTATTTTCTTTGCATTTTTGTCTTCATCCCAATTTTTCTTTTCTATTATGGGTTCAAGCTCTTGTTTCTTAGAGGTCATTTCTTCTTTGATATATTTGATAACACCAAGCATATAATATGATACTTTCATATTTTAATTTTAGAAATTATTTGTACGGATATGCTTTGTGTCTGCTTTTCTCCTAATTGTTTTTCTTGAAGGAGGTTATGCTTTAAAAAATGTTTTTATCTTACTCATATTTGAATAGAAAAGTATTTATCTAGGCCTGCTGTTTTGCCAGTGAGCATGGTAGATAATGTACTTTTGGTCTCTCTAATTGCTCATATGGACTCTAGCAAAGTGTTGCTCCCACCCCAAAATTGACCTATGCCAATTTGAAATGCCCTGCATCTTCTCATTTAATGTTGGTACAATTCACTGTGATTGAAATTTATTTCAATATATTTACAGACCATGAGGGCTAAGAAACATTGCCTAATGAAATACATAAAGAATTACATTGTTAAAAATCATGCCAGACATATTGATTGTAATGATTATCATAAAACATGTATTATTATCAAAGTAAATTAACCACATCTAATTCATCAGTGTTATAGCCAGTGACAACTAGAATTAGAGAATATTAAAAGTAGAATGAAACATTACTATCCAGTTCAAGTTCAGAATTTTGTACGTATATGTACATATATAGCCCAGAAACCCAAAGATGTGAAGAAATGGCTAGAATGTGGCAGAAACTGGAGTTTGACTCAGATTCCTATATTGTAGTGATTTTTCCATGATGCTCCATTAGCCCTTAAGTTTCAAGAATCAGGATAATTGGCCAGGAAAACACAAAATTTTCACTAATTTAAAAGGTAGATATCATTGGAAAAGAACAGGCAAGTGACAACCAACAGAGAGTAAAGACAAACACAGTATGAGAAATTCTTCCAACAACCTCTGAGTGGATGTCATTACTTTAGGAAGTGATAATGTGCCCAAACAGCCATGGGAAGATGATTATTTAAGAGGCTGACATCTGAAAATGGAGATGCATAATTTAACTCTCACCTGGGATTCAGTATTAGTGGATAAGGTAAAATGGACAAAGCATGAAGAAATTGCACTGTTTTTTTGTGGGAAAGATTCGTATATCAAATCCATCACTTTAGGAGTTACCAAAGCCCAATGTCTCAATGGTAGAATAATAAAAGTGGAGCACTTTCTTGGTCATTCAGTTATTTTAATTAAAAATGAAAAAATCTACATAATGAAAATCTGAAATTCCATTTGCAAGTTCATCTGGACAAAAGATCATTTCTTTTTCTTCTTTACCTTTAAAAACATATGACTAAAAGCATCAAGTTTCAAGAGAATATATATTCATTGCTACTGTATTGGTCATCTAATAGTTATATTTTTATAAATAAATGCAAAATGTAGTGTTTTGTCAACTGCTAGAAAAAAATGGCTGTTTCAATTTGGTTATGGACACACTCCTGCCACCTGGTGTCATATTATCTAAATTACAGAATCACATCTGGAAATGCAAAAACATTTTAAAAATTCAATTATTTAAAGAAAAATATTTCTATGTATCCTGTGTATATTAAAATTAATTTTGAAGCAAAATGTAGACATTATTACAAAACCAAGCTGTGATGAATAAAATTATTTAGAAATGCAGAAAACTATTCAATATTATAATCATTAAAAATAAAATTTGAATGCACTTTTTGGTTTGTATCTTTATAATGAAAGACTAAATCAAACGTAAAAAAAAACCTTCATCTTATGCTATGAGTGAAGGTAACCTCTGTATTGCTATTATTTAACGCAAAAAAACCTGATGTTGTCATCCATTTAAATAAGTATGATAACTAGAATCTTTAGTAAAAGAAACTTTTGGAAATACTATAAACTACTTTGGTTTTGTCTGTTCATCTAATTTCACATGCAAAACAAACAGTGAAATACAACAATTATAAAACATCTTTATAAATTGATAATGCATTAATGTATTTTTGCAAATCCTAGTCAGCTCAATTATATCCTTGGCATTCAGAAATAATCACTTATACTCTCTAGCAATTCTTCATGACAGCTAGTCACTTTATCTGATTTTATGTCTATGACTGCTTTTAGAAGATCTAATATCTCCTAGTCAGAACATTCAAACCAAACTTCTCACATTGTATCATAGAAATTAGATTTTTCACTTTCTCTTCAGTGACATTTTCCAAATTATGTACTTACTCACTGATTATTTTAAATAAATTTGAAAACACTAAAATAAATAAAAGTAAGCTGACTTCAGCATTCTATTATTAACATGATAAGGTATATTGAGAAGGTAAGAGCATGTATCACTTCTCAAGCTCCACGGATCATTCTGGTCTCCATCTTAGAACACAAAACTAGTCCTCTCAGGTGCACCAACTGGAAATATACTAAAAGGTGTATTTTCTTATGGTGTGTATTGATTACTTTTATAACTCTGTTTTGGAGTTTATTTTTATGTCAAAACAGATTATTGATTGGAATAATGAAATATATCATCTATACTATCCTTTTGGCCCTGTTATGAAGTCAAGGCTAGGAAAATTATAAATTTGATTAAAACATATTGGAATATTTTCAGCGCGGTGTTCTTTGGTTTCTGTGCAATGAAGTTACTTCTTTATGTGATGTAATATTGCTGAGTGATTGAGACAGAGAGTTGAAGTTTGACTGCTGAAGTTCAAATGGCAGCTGTACTATTCCAAGCCTTATGGACTTGGAAAAATTGGATAACATCTCTAAGCCTCAATCTCCTCAATATTAAGTAAGAATATCAGCCATACCCAGCTTTATTTGGGGATCCACTGAGTTAATGCATTTACATGGTGTTTGGCACATGGTAAGTACGCCATAAAATATGTTTATTGTTCATAATAAAACTATTAAAAAAACATAATTGTATTTATAAAGATTATATAACATTTTAGATATTCAGGTAATTATTAATTACCTGAATTAATTTCAGGTATTACCGCTTGCTTTTACAACTAATCATTTCAAAGTCTTATGCCCTGAAGTTAAAAATGTTAGTATTAGATGTATATTTTTAATGAAACCACTTTGGGAAAAAGTTGTTTGAAAATAAGGATTCATTTTAGTGCTTAGTTTGCATTCTCAGAATTCAGCTGAAACTTGGATGTTTGGTAAAATCATATTTTACAAATATCTTGATAGCTAGTTGAAAGCTATTATGAGATAACACTAAGCAACATAAATGTAATTTCCTTATATGTTCATTAAATTGCTCAAAATAGTAACATTCTTAAAGAAATGAAGTCTTTTTATCCTTGTGGTTGTGGATTTTTATATATAAACTGTATGTGTATATATGTATATGTATGTGCATATGTGTACATACATATACAGTACATATATAGATACACAGGTTTATATATGTAAACTTCTATTTAATGGAGAAAAATTATTCATGGCAAAAAAGTAAAGTTTCATGACGAGGGTATTATTTTAAGTATAGATGTTATACTTTTATATAAAATTCTGTGGGAAAAAAACCAGCTAAGGTTAGGATTCTTTGTCTGATTCTAGAACACCCAAAAGGATGTTATATAACTCTTCTCTTGCTATACTGTATATAGACTGACAGGGACAGAATGAAAACCAAAGCAAATATGAGGTAAGAATGATTTTTTATTACTTTAGGTATTTCTAGATGTCAGATAAAAATGAGAACTTCGCTAAAAATTTTACAGAAAGACAGCTCTGCCTTATGGAGAAAATTCTATAGTTTGATATATGAGGCAGAAAATGTGAAAAATATTATGAAGTACTACCCTGACATAATGATGGAAAGCTGCTGAAAGTGTGCTAACACCAAGAAATATAATAGACTAAAGTTAAACAAGGAAGAATGCCATTTTTAAAAATCTTTCCTACCTCAGAAATATGAAGTTTAGCCTTCAAAAATGCAAACCACTACCTTTTATTACTGACTTCTAAATGTACCACTTTACTTCCTTACTTGGAAGCTAAGTTCCCAATACCTTTGAATATTTTGCAAATACAAAATAAATATGGAAAGGTATTTAATAATGGTAATATTCTCCTCTACTATAAATTAGTAGACTATAACCTGCTAAATTACTCATTTAATATTTCTCCACTCGTATGCTACTTCTGCATATACTCTTCTTCTAAGTGATATCAGACATTTGACGCCTTAAGCCACATGTACCGACAACCCCTTTGTTCTGTTCACAGTAGTAAAATTTGCCTTTGATAAATTCTGTAATTCAAGGTGCTCTGCCCTCTACCCTCCAAGAAGTTGACACTTAACCCAGATTAAGCCAAGTGGACTCTCTCGCCCTGAGATTTTCCTCTTAGGCCACATTATATCAGTGGAGGTGCTTGAAGAAATTAGCTCCTACTATCTGGAAATCTTGATATTCCCTGATTCCTGAAACTTTCTGAGTTTGATTAATGAATACCCCTTTGACTCTACAAAACACTTTATCCTTCAAGTGAATTCTGGTTTTTGGTAAATTTCAATTTGTTAAATTAGCTAAAGTGGTTTCTGAGGCTTACAACCAAAATATATATATATATATATATATATATATAATTTTATATATTTTTATATGTGGATATATATTTTTATATATGGCACATTTAATGATTAAGTTATGCAATATAGTATAAAACCTCATGACAGAAGCATATAGTTGAAAGTGGCAGGATATTCTTAATTCATTTATTTTTATAAGGAATACTGACATGAAATTTTATTTTTACATAAGCTCTCTGTTTCACTAATTTTCCCCCATATTTCTCATGTCAAGAAGACACTCCATGGGTTAGTACAAAAGAAAATTAAATATCATGTTATGTATTATTGTGTGTATGCCGATACAATCACTTCTACATCGATTCTATTAATACATTAAAGAAGGAATCCTTCTCTGAAAATGCCACTCACATAATTATTTATATTTATATAAGACACAATTTTTTTCAATGGAATGCAGACTAGAAGGTGGGTTGCAGAAAAACTCACATTTATATTTGCCAAGTTTTATGCATTATTTAAATTTAATATATTACAATCACCAGTTGAGAATCACAGCTAAAAATATATCAATGTGCTCGAGTTTATTTCCCATTGGATATCTCTGTATAAATATTGAGAAATGTTGAATTAAAAATTAAAGATTCATTGCAATTTTTTACTCTTTCATTTAAGTTGCTTTTTATAATAGTAATTTTCCTATAACATTTTTATGAATATTAAATGAGACAGCTCATAAAAATCTCAACATAAAGATGGGTTCATAACAAACTCAATAAACGCCAGTTGTGATGTTGAAGATAATAATAAAATGATAATGATAGTGCATATCAACGTGAAAATGAGTCTTGTCTAAACCACTATTTTCTTTCAGGTTTCCTTGATTAAGTTTTGTTAGTTTTCTATACAGTCAAGTCTATGTGTGGAATTTTACTCATTGACTATTCTAAGAAAATCTCTAAAAATATCCTGAGTCGTTGTCAGTATTTCAACTTTAAACACATAACAACTCTTCCCACTATTTGGGTGGTATAAGAATCATTTTTTATTTTTTCAAACTTTTTAAAGAACAATTCTATGTATTGGGAACATAAAGATAAATAAGACACTGTTCCCATTCTTTAGGAGTAAAATGAATCTCAATTCTAAGCTGATTTTTTTTTGGCATACAGGGAGTGAAGAACTTTCATTTGGAGTTAGGAGATAGGAAGGCAGAAAAAGACCTTTCTCTTGTGGTGAAAACAAGTTAAATCTGGGAAAATACAAATAATACTTCTTTTATTTTTTATTTTTTTATTTTTATGTTTTGAGACGGAGTCTTGCTCTGTCTCCCAAGCTGGATAGAGTGCAGTGGCGCGACCTTGGCTTACTGCAACCTCCGCCTCCCGGGTTCAAGTGATTCTGCTGCCTCAGCCTCCCAAGTAGTTGGGATTACAGGCATGAGCCACCACATCCGGCTAATTTTTGCATTTTTTTTTATTAGAGACGGGGTTTCACAGTGTTGGCCAGGCTGGTCTCGAACTCCTGACTTCAATCGATCCACCCAACTTGGCCTCCCAAAATGCTGGGATTACAGGCCTAAGCTACCGCACCCGGCCAATCATACTTTTTTAAAAAAACGCGGCCAGTGAAAAGTGGTGAGTAAGAGATTTCTTGTGAACTGAAGTCTAGAGAGAGAAGCTCAGAGAGCAACTATAACCTTCCAGACCTGGAGATGGGCCTCTAGCGTGGGAATGTTAGGGGCTTGTCATAGAAATATTTTATGGGAATGAGGGAAAATCAACCAGAGTCCTTGGAATACAGTGTGGGTAGGCAGAACAAATAAGAATTTCAAACAGTTATAAACACAAGGATGGATCATTAGGGAAAGCAGTTCCTTTCCCTCAGTTTTTGCCAAGAAAGCATCAGCAAACATCAACAGAGAAAAATCACGTACCACCATAGTGCTATTCATGTGTTTTCAGTCCCTAACGGAAGTGAAAGTATATTAAACTGCAACCATCCCCTTCCCAGCTAAAAAGGCAGCAGCTTGGGAGGTTTAAGTTGTCCATTCACAAGTGAACTCATTCTAATTAAAGCTGTCACCTTTGAGTAAATCAATTTACTCAAATTGATTTAAGTAAATTTCTGAATAATCAGCCTGGCACTCTTAACAACTTGTCAGAGAAAAGAGTTTAAATAAACAAAAATATAAATAAATTTTAAAATATTTTATACATCAGTTTTTATACAATGTGCATGCTACAATAAAAAAAGTCCAGAAACATAAAGAAGCAGAAAATATAAGAACAATAAAAACCAAAACAGCATGGTACTGGTACCAAAACAGAGATATAGACCAATGGAACAGAACAGAGCCCTCAGAAATAATGCCACATATCTACAACTATCTGAGCTTTGACAAACCTGACAAAAACAAGAAATGGGGAAAGGATTCACTATTTAATAAATGGTGCTGGGAAAACTGGCTAGCCATATGTAGAAAGCTGAAATTGGATTCCTTCTTACACCTTATACAAAAATTAATTCAAGATGGATTAAAGACTTAAATGTCAGACCTAAAACCATAAAAACCCTGGAAGAAAACCTAGGCAATACCATTCAGGACATAGGCATGGGCAAGGACTTCATGTCTAAAACACCAAAAGCAATGGCAACAGAAGCCAAAATGGACAAATGGGATCTAATTAAACTAAAGAGCTTCTGCACAGCAAAAGAAACTACCATCAGAGTGAACAGGCAACCTACAGAATGGGAGAAAATTTTTGCAATCTACTCATCTGACAAAGGGATAATATCCAGAATCTACAATGAACTCCAACAAATTTACAAGAAAAAAACAAACAACCCCACCGAAAAGTGGGCAAAGGATATGAACAGACGTTTCTCAAAAGAAGACATCTATGCAGCCAAAAGACACATGAAAAAATGCTCATCATCACTGGCCATCAGAGAAATGCAAATCAAAACCACAATGAGATACCATCTCACACCAGTTAGAATGGCAATCATTAAAAAGTCAGGAAACAACAGGTGCTGGAGAGGATGTGGAGAAATAGGAACACTTTTACACTGTTGGTGGGACTGTAAACTAGTTCAACCATTGTGGAAGTCAGTGTGGCGATTCCTCAGGGATCTAGAACTAGAAATACCATTTGACCCAGCCATCCCATTACTGGGTATATACCCAAAGGATTATAAAACATGCTGCTATAAAGACACATGCACATGTATGTTTATTGTGGCACTATTCATAATAGCAAAGACTTGGAACCAAGCCAAATGTCCAACAACGATAGACTGGATTAAGAAAATGTGGCACATATACACCATGGAATACTATGCAGCCATGAAAAAGGATGAGTTCATTTCCTTTGTAGGGACATGGATGAAGCTAGAAACCATCATTCTCAGCAAACTATCACAAGGACAAAAAAACCAAACACCGCATGTTCTCACTCATAGGTGGGAATTGAACAATGAGAACACATGGACACAGGAAGGGGAACATCACACACTGGGGCCTGTTGTGGGGTGGGGGGAGGGATAGCATTAGGAGATATACCTAATGTTAAATGACTAGTTAATGGGTGCAGCACACCAACATGGCACATGTATACGTATGTAACAGACCTGCACGTTGTGCACATGTACCCTAAAACTTAAAGTATAATAATTAAAAAAAAACTCTTCCTAACACCATCCATAAAAAAAAGAATAATAAAGAGAAAAAAATTTTTTTAATTTTTTTATTTCCATAGGTTATTGCATTTAGTTACATGAGTAAATTATTTAGTGGTGATTTGTGAGATTTTGGTGCACCCATCACCCGAGCAGTATACACAGCACCCAATTTGTAGTGTTTTATCCCTCACCCCCTTCCCACCATTTCCTTGAGTCCCCAGAGTCCCTTGTGTCATTCTTGTGCCTTTGCATCCTCATAGCTCAACTCACACTTAGGAGTGAGAACATACAATGTTTGGTTTTCCATTCCTGAGTCACTTCATTTAGAATAATAGTCTCCAATCTCATTCAGGTTGCTGTGAATGCCATTAATGCATTCCTTTTTATGGCTGATTAGTATTCCATTGTATTTATATACCATTGTAGGACAAAATAGTGTTAATAAAAACAGATCTATTGATGAACAAGTGTTTGCAATGAGTCAACAAAAAAAATTAAAAGTAACTATTATGATTAAGTTAAATAATTTACAGGAAAAGATGAAGATTTTGGGTGTTTCAAGAAGTAAATTTAAACTAAAATACGATTCATTCGATATGCTAGCAAATGAAGTCAGAAAAAAGAGGAGAGTGAGAGAGAGAATAAAGAAGACAGATACAGAGAAATATTCAGGCATAAAAAATTAGAAGAAAAAATGGTCAATTATTTTTCCAAATTTAATAAACAATTTCAGCTCTATTGAGCCAGAAAATTTAATAAAATCAACTGAATAAATTAAAAATTGATAACGAGGTATACTATAGTTAAATTACTTAAAGCCATGGATAATACCAAAAAAAAAATAAGCTATAGGTAAAAAAAAACTTTAAGTACAGTACAACAATGATAAGAATTATGGCTTAATTCTCATCAGATAAAATAAGAGCCAGAAGACAGAGAGAACATCTTTAAAGTGTTAAGACAGAAAACAGAAACAAAAATTTTCAAACTACAATTATATATGCAGCATAAGTATCCTTCAAGAATTAAAGCAAAGACATTTTCAATAAAAAAAAAATTTATACTACAAGATCCATACTACAAGATATACAAAAGTAGTTCTTCAGGCTGAAGGAAAATTATACCACAGATAAACTTAGATCTATAGAAAAGAATACAAAGTACTAGATACAGCAAATATGTGGTTAAATATAAAAGTTTATGTTTTTAAAAAACAGTTTAAGTTGTTTAAACTCTATTATGAAAACAAAAAATATTATAGTAGGGCCGATAACATATGTAGAATTAAAATGTATTACAATATGTGATATGAGTACTAAAATTGTTTCATCAAACCAAAAGAAATCAGAAAAGGAAGAACCAAAAAACAAGTAAACAAACAATGGATGAAATAAAAAGAAAAAAATCGCAAGATCTTAGCCTTAAATTCAGCCATATTAATTATTATATTAAATGTTGAAGGGCTTAAAAACTTCCATTCAAAGGCAAAAGTTTTATATCTGGATTAAAAAAACTATATGCTCTTCACAAAGCTACATTAAATATTATGATACGTTAAAAGCAAAAGAATGGAAAAGATACACCACAAAAACACTAATCACAAGAAAGTTTGCTTTGCTATATTAATATCAGACAAAGTAGATGTCAAGATAAGAAAAATTACCAGAGGAAAAGGTTTGATGTTTTATAATAATAAAAGGGTCAATTCAAAAAATTATAAATATCTATCTGATAACAGAGATTCAACATATATGAAGGAAAAATTGATATAACTAAAGCAGGAAATTTAAACAATACTTATTTATGGCTAGATATTTCAACTTCATTTTTTTTTTTTTTTTGAGACGGAGTCTTGCTCTGTTGCCCAGGCTGGAGTGCAGTGGTGTGATCTTGGCTCACTATAACCTCCGCGCCCTGGGTTCAAATGATTGTCCTGCCTCAGCCTCCTGGATAGCTGGGACTACAGGCATGCACCACCATACCCGGCTAATTTTTTTGTATTTTTAGTAGGGACGGGGTTTCACCGTGTTAGGCAGAATGGTCTCCATCCCTTGACCTGGTGATCCGCCCGCCTCGGCCTCCCAAACTGCTGGGATTACAGGTGTGAGTCAACTTCATTTTTATAAGTGATCAAAAAACCAGACCAAAAAAACTAGTAAGCATAAGGAAGATTTGAACAATACCAAATACCTACTTGACACTTCTAGGACACTACTTCCAACAACTGTATAATATGCGTTATTTTCAAGAGCACATGGAACATTCACTAATTCAGGCCAAAGGCTGGACCATGAAACGAATCTTATTAAGTTTAAGATGATTTAAGTCACATAGGGCATGTTCTCTGGTTATAATAGAATTAAATTAAAATTTAGTAATAGAAAATCTCGAATATATAAAAATTAAACATCATACTTCTAAATAATCCACTGCCTTAATAAAGAAAACACAGAACAAGAAAACATCATAAAGCCGAAAGATAGTGAAAATCTAACATATGTAAATATGTGGAATGCATATAAAGCAGAGCTTCAGGGTAATTTATATGTAAATGTTTATGTTAGATAAAATATGGCTTTAATGTTAATTTTTAAGTTTCCAATTTAAGAAGCTAGAAAAAGATCAAACTAAATCTAAAATAAGTAGAACCAAATAAAATAAGAGCAAAATAATTTTTTAAGAAATTATAAATAGAGAAATAATAAAGTATAAAAAGAGGAATGCCAGTTCTTTCAAAAGATAATAAAATGAATAAATTCTTAGCAATGTTGATCAACAAAAGCAACAAAAACCCAATTACCAATAATACAGTATCAGGATATGTGGGCCACATACACAACAAGATTATTCCATAATTTATCATAATGGCTAAGGGCTTTAACTTACCATAGAAAACATCTGTGGTCGGTCCTGTTTACTCTGTAAATGGCTCCTAGTTCTAAGTTAGCATTATTTATAACTATTGCCACAGGGAAACTAATGCATAAATTGTGATATTGAACAGAAATAATATATAAGAAGAGTGCCTATGATTTCCTAATAAAAATATGGCATATGTTTTAATAATAATATTCAATGTTTTAGATATCTTAGAAAACTTTCAAAGCAAACTTGCCATAGCTAAGTGGGTTAAAACAGTAATTACAACTTAAATTCTTTAGTTACATTTCAAAATGCCTACAAACAGCAAATAAGATAATGTTGGATAATATTCTGCAAAAACAAGTTTCATCCCCACTTCCATGTCTTTATTAAATTGCTTTATATCCCACTTTGCTTAGGTTACTGCTGCTGTTCAGAATCCCTTCCTGAAGACAGGGAACACGTTAGCTGGCATACCAATGTGAATAATAAGAAAAAATTCTTGATACATACATCTGTGCAAACATTCTCCCCAGCTACCTGAATTCAATGACATCAATCATAAGGGGCTTCACTGAGTAAACATACATTTAGATTTTAAAATATATATAAGTATATGGTATACCTCACCAGTGCCATTGACTATAATTGTAAAATATAATTAAATTTATTCATTGAGTGTTTTGTATCAGGAGAGTCACTAAAAATATCTTTAAACATCTGCTGTGAACCTTGTTTTGATGTGCGTCACAAAAAAATAGAATATTTAGAATATAATACATTATGTTCTCGTGTAGAATATAAAACACAATGAGATGTGGATATGATGGATTTCTGCCAAGCATTTGTACATATCTTCAGAAAATGTCACATATATATAATTCTCTGGTGTTAATACTATTGTTTGTTTTCTTCTTAATGGGGTCGGATTTTCAGTCTCAGTCCTTAATGACATTTTGTTGTACAAATGGTTCTTCTATTTAGGATGTGTGCATCCTTTGTCTAATAGGATTTTGGACCAACTCTTTATTTTTTCTTAGGTCAATATTAGTTTACAATGCATTTTCCTTTCACACTGGATCTGGGGCAGATCATGTGAATCTGAATGCACAAATATGCAAAAATAAACTATGTTCTCACAGAAAAATAATTACCAAAAACAGATTTAGTGTGAAAGTGTGCATGACTCTTATTTTAATTAGCACAGCTTTTACAACTCAACCATGTATAGAAGCATCAGCATTATCTGTAATATATTTCAGTTGTATATTGCCATTATTTCTCCAAACATTATAAACTATAACAATTCGACTACTCTCTTCAGGAGGCATTTTTCAAGTTCCTGCTTTATAGGAGTTGAACATATATGAACAAAGAAGAGAGGGAAGGGGGTCCTATGCTTTTCCTATACTGTCCCTTCAAATTTATTTCATTTAGAAGTATACAGAATGAGCTCTTAAATTACTGATAATCATCCTCATGCACATCTCTTATTGTCTTCATCTTTTTATAATACTACTCTTGCTCACCATGCTCAAGCGCATTGACTTTCCTCATTTTTCTTGAATATTTCTGCATTCTTCTGCTTAGAGTCTTTGAATTGATTGCTTCCTGTGCTTGGAATGTTGTCCCCCCTAGATCTACATGCTTGCTGTTGTTCCCTTTTTACAACTTCGATTAAACTCCCCTTCTCATTTGATTTTACCCTGATCTCTTTATTTATGATTGCAGTTTCTCCCATCCACCTGGCTTTCTAAATCTAATTTAAGAGTTCTTATTATAAAGAGATGTTGGATTTTGTTTCATACTTTTATTAGAAGTATTGAGGTGACCATACAATTTTTATCCTTCATTCTGTTAATGTGGTGTATTATATTTATTGATTTGTGTATCTTGAACCATCTTGCATCCCAAGGATAAATCCTATTTGATCATGCTATATTATACTTATAATGTGCTGTTGAATTTAGTTTGCTAGTATTTTGTGAAGAATTTTTGCATCTGTGTTCATCAGGGATATTGGCCTATAATTTTTTTTTTCTGGAAGTGTCTTTGGTCTGCCTTTAATATCAAAGTATTGCTACCCTCATAAAATGAGATTGAAAGTATTCTCTCCTCTCTAATTTTTTGGAAGAGTTTGAGAAGGATTGGCCATCAGGTCCCAGGCATTTTTGTTGTTGTTGTTGGAAGATTTTCATTACTGTTCCTACTATCTTATTCACTACTGGTCTGCTTTAATTTTCTATTTTTTTTATTTTCAGACTTGGTAAGTTGTATGTTTCTAAGAATTTATCTATTTATTCTGGTTATTTAATTTGTTGACTTATAACTATTCCAAGTAGTTTCTTATAATCCTTTGTATTTCTGTAATAGTTATAATATCTCCTCTTTCATTTATAAGTTGAGTCTTTTTTTATTAGGCCATCTAAAGGTTTATATTTTCTATTGATTTTCTAATCTCTATGATATGTATTTCTGCTCTGATCTTTATTTTTTCCTTCTGTCTTCTAACTTTGGGCTTGGTATGTTTTCTATTTTTCTTCTTTCTTTTATTTCCTTGAAGTATAAAGTTATATTGTTTTTTCAGATCTTTTTCTCATGGTAGGTATTTATCATTAAAGAATTCCTTATTAGAATTATTTTTGCTGCATCCCATAAGTTTTGGTACGTTGTGTTTCTATTTTTGACTCAAGATATTTTTCCATTATTGTATTTGATTATATTTCTGCCTTTCTTCAGTTCTGTTAATATTTGCTTTATTTAATTAAGCATTCCAGTGTTGGGTGTGCATATTTTAATAATTGCTATGTCCATTTGACATTTGATAAATTTACCACTGTTTATGATATAATGTCCTTCTTTGTCCCTTGTGGCAATTTTTTTTTACTTAAATTCTATTTTTTTTCTGATGTAAGTATAGTCACGAAAGATCTCTTTTGATTACCATCTGCATGGGATATCCTTTTCTATCCTTCACTTTTAGTCTATGTGGGTTCTCAAAGTTAAAGTGAGTCTCATATAGGCAGCGTATACTTAGATCTTGTTTTCCCATTTAGCCACTCCGTATTTTCATGGAAAAGTTAATCTATGTACATTTAAAGTAATTATTGATAGGTGAGGACTTACTATATTTACCTATCAATATCTTTGATATTGGTGTCTTTGACATGTTAATGTCTTTGCCACTTTGTAAAATTGTTTTCTGAGTGTTTTGTAGTTCTTTTGTTCTTTCTACTGTTATTATATTACTGTTGATTTAACTTTTCAGCTCTGTTGATACTTCCTTTATATATTTAGGTTCTACAATTTACTGGGCACATATATAGTTACAATTGTTATATCCACTTGATAAACTGGCTTCTTACTATATAATGACCTTATTTGTCTCTTATGACAGTTTTTGACGTAAAGTCCATCTGTCTGATTGGCAGACAGCAGGTGATCTAACAAAACAAGCCTATGGATATGACACAAATCCCTAATTTAGAAATTGGTGCTAAACACTAATTTCTAAGTCTAAAAACCTGTTGCTGGTAAGTACAATCCTGAGTATTCCATTTCCACGTGCATTTGTTTCTGTTTACCACTACTATAAGTTTATTTTAAAACAAAACGGAAAGATTTTACTTGCTAAATGCCCTCTCTTCTCACCTTGTATACATGACTGAAAAGTGTGATTTGCTACATTAAAAAAAATGATATACTAAAGGATGTAGGAAGTTCAGAGACATAGACTTTAAAAAGAAACATGTAAAGAGTAAAATTTTCCTACTGTATTATGGGACAGAAAGAAACATATTGGCCTGACACATTCTAAGGTGGCTGCTATGATTCCCACTTCTCACTTTGTGACCCCCTACCCGTGAGTGTGGGAAGTACTTGTGACTGCTTTCAACCAGTAGAATATGGCAAAGGTGATATGATTTTACTTTTGTGATTGTGATACATAAGATTGAAGCACTCTTTTTTCTACATGACTCTCTCCCCTGTTCATTTTGAAGAAACAAGCTGGCATGTTGTAAGCCACCCTATGAAGAAGCTACTTTGCAGGGAAAAAAGAGAAAAGCTTCTGAATAACAGCAAGAAACAGTTCCTCAATCCAACAGCTCACAAGAAGTGGAATCCTACTGATACAGGCAGCAAATCTGTAAGGATCTACGGCAACCTCCTTGCCTCCTCAGAAGAAAGAATTTGACCCAGGGGTTACAAGGCAGAGTGAGAGAACAAGGCAATTTTTAGAGCAGGATTGAGAGCTTATTAAAAAGTTTTAGGGCATGAATGAACGGAAGTAAAGTATACTTGAAAGAGGCCCAAGCAGGCAACTTGAGAAATCAAGTGCCCTGTTTGATCTTTGACTTGGAGTTTTATACAATGGCATACTTCCAGGGTCGTGCGTCCCTTCTCCTGTGATTCTTCCCTTGGGATGGGCTGTCCACATGTGCAGTGTTCTGCTAGCACTTGGGAGGAAGCACAAGTGCAGTGGGCTTTCTAGAGTTGTACACATGCCCACTTGAAGCATTCTTCCCTTACCAGCCTAATGTTCCATATACCAGTTAAACTCCACCATTTTGCCTCTTAATGTGCATGCTTGAGCCCACTTGCCCCACTCCTGAGATCTTATTGGGAAGCTGCTGATTACCAGTTTCAAGTTTTTTCTATCTATTGGGAGACTGCCTTTCCCTGGTACTGGCTGCAAGCAATTGTTTTAGACTATCACCTGATGATCACCTGACATTCTTGGCTGGGCGGGAGGAGCCCTCTCTGTCCTGCTTATGTCTGCCTGACTACCTACTGTAACACTACCAACAACCATATGAGCATGGAAACGGATTCTTCATCAGTTGAGTTTTCAGATGAGAATTCAACTCTGACTACCATCTTGATTTCAGTCTTGAACAGGACCTGGCTAGTCTGTGCCCAGATTTATTACCTGCATAAAATATAAGGTGATAAATGTGTGTTGTTTTAAACTGCTAAGTTTGTGCTAAGCATTATTTGGCAATAGATAACTAATATATACGACATTAATATTTTGTATTAAATATAGTTAATACCTGCTTAATTAGCCCTACATATGGTGTTTGTTGTCTCCTTTTAAGAAGTATTAAATCTATGCATCTTAAAAAGACACAAATAGTATAGATTAAAATTTAAATACCCAACAGAGTTGAAAAGTTAAAAATGAATTGCTGTATCAGAAGAAGCATTGTAAAAATGTTGTACTATTTTCTCACACTTTTTGTCTATTATTAGTTACTATTAGTTGCTACTGTTAATTAGTCCCTTTTGTTTTGTTTCAATAGTAGAATTAATGTAATAGAAGAGTAAAGAATAGAAAATAATACACAATTTCAAATAAGCACCTTTTATATATTTTCATGTTAATGTAATAACATGTATATGCACAATTATTTTTTTTATTTTTTATTTTGGTGGGTTTGGCAATTGGTCTCCAACCATTATCATGACTTTATTGATTTTTCCTGTAAGTGCTATCAAATTTTGCTCCATATATTTTATTTGTTTTGTTTTTGAGACAGTCTTGCTCTGTCACCCAGGCTGGAGTGCAGTAGAGTGATCTCAGCTCACTGCAACCTCCACCTCCCAGGTTCAAGGTATTCTTGTGCTTCAGCTTCCTGAGTAGCTGGGATTACAGGCATGCACCAACACACCTAGCTAATTTTTGTATTTTTAGTAAAGACAGGGTCTAGCCATGTTGTTCAAACTGTTCTCCAACTCCTGGCCTTCAGTGATCCCCCAACCTCAGCCTCCCAAAATACTAGGATTATGGGTGTGAGCCACCGTGCCTGGCCAGCTTTGTATATTTTAAAGTCCTCTTCTGAGGTTCATATATATATATTCCTAATTGATATACCTTGGTGAATATTGATACTTTACTTTGTAATAAATGTTCATCTCTTCTTGTGAGTTATCTTTTTTCAAGTTTAATAATATTTTTCTTCCATTTAAATTACTTAGCCCATTTATATTTAGTGTAATATTGATATGGTTGGTTGTCTTTATCTCTACCATTTGCTTTTTGGTGGAATAACTACTTCTGTATTTTTGTTTGTTTTTTTCTCTTTCCTTTTCATCCTTTGTGTTGATCAAACACCTTTAGTTTGGGAAAATTTTTTAGAAACTTCCATAATTCCCATGAATTATAGAAAAAGATTTTGAGAAAATGTTCATAGCATAGTTAATTGAAAACAGAAAAATTTAGAAAAGTGCATTTAATGTGTAACCAGATTTAGAAACCAATGGTTTGTGTGTGTGTGTGTGTATCATATGGCTATGGAAAAAGTGATACATGGAAAAACACACAGAACATTTGAAAGAGGATAAGAGGATGAAGAAGAAGGAAGATGGGAATTAAAATACACCATTTAGGAGAATGTTTACTTTAAATTTTACCATTTTTATAATGTAGTAATGATATAATATGCTCTAATATTAGTACTCAGAACCCAAATTATTATAAATATTTTCAAAATGTATTTCAATCAGTAAATGTATATCCTTGCTATTAAATTCACAAACCTCCACATAAATCCAAGTGCATATGTGCACATACTCAAACACACACATTGTAATTACAGCAAATGTTATTTTATTAATATTTTTATTTAAAGAGATCCAGTTTTAAAATATAAAGGATTAGTTTCTTCATTTTGTTCTATTTTTTGTTGTTGCACATTTTAATTATTGTTGAAAGGACAATTCAACTCTTTTAAGAAAATTAAACAAACATTTAGACTAATTTAAAACTATTTATTGAGTACCAGTCACTCTTCTAAATGATTTGCATGGTTTTATGAAGAGAAAACTTTAAGAATTAATAAGTGTCAATTAAAGTAATTATTCAACTTTTTCTCTTTGTCTTGTATGTATATTTTACATTGCCAAAAGAATGAGAGAAATATATGAGATAATTTCTATTTGAGAGAATTTCTATATGAGAGAAATATAGTTATATTTCTCTTCAATATATTAAATGCTTCTCTATCAAATACCTAACATATTGTATAGATGTAGAACAGTATTGATCCTCCAAATTAGCTAAAATCATCATACTGCCCAGAAAATAAAAGTAGCCTATATTTTCCTAAGAGACTTGATAGTTTCCTCGACTAAATAAGTAACTCACACAATTTGAAGATGATATTTTTGTTGAAAAATAAATCTTGTATAAAGTCCTTTACTACATATAGTTGTACTCAGTAATTTTGAGTTAATTTTAATATATGTGTATATGAATGTATACCCTTGAGCTGCAAAAGCTAGACCAATTTTTTTCATGTCAAAATACATGTCAACAATTTAAACATTATGCACACAGCTTTCACTGTTTTTTACTTCACATGAAAAAGCATCCTGATTCTTTCAAAACAAACTAAAGAAATTGGATTAAATAGCTTCTGAATTAATTTTAAGGCTTAAAGCAAAATTATCACATCTCAAGGACATTATAGCAACTGCAAATAATTTAAAATACATATATTTAGCATTTACAATTTTGTATAATAATGAAAACTAGCATATAATCTTTATTTTGATGAGTGTAAATGTTAATATTTAGTCTGACGTTTGTAAATTCAACTCAGTAGAATTAAATAAATATGCCTAAAACATATTTAATGTATAAAACTGGACTAAGTACTGAAACATATACAGAGATGAGCAATAACAGTGATAAATACTAAAAATAATTTAAAAATTACATAAAGTTGAATAGATCCGGAAATTCCTCAATGTGATAAAGGTGACAAAGGAAGAGCAGTAACCATTGGAAATAAGTTTGACATGAATCAAAGTATTTGAGAAATATTGTACTGTCTTGCAAACAAGAATCTACTTTGAGAAAATGTTCTGTTTTTATGCATACTAGATAGTATGCATAAAGACACTTATAATTTAGATTTTAGAGTCCCAGACAATATCCTAAAAATATAAAATATTTAAAATAAGAATATTACAAAGGTCTGGTATAGTTCCCTCTTTGTATCAAGCATGTGCTTTTTTTCCTTTGCAGGTAAGCTAATATGTTATTAGGATTATATATTAACACTTTAACTTAATACAAAATTTGATGAATTTTGTATAGTGGTACATTTCATACTGAATAGAATATATGATAATTTCATATATGGAGGAGACATAAGACTGCAGGCTTGGCTTTGAAAAGGAATACGATTATAAACATGCTAATGTATTCAGTCATTGCTTTAACATCAAGTTTATCTTTTAATTACTCTGTGTCCTGAGTATTTTGCAAGGCACATCAAGGTCTTTTTTGCCTTCCATTTAAAGACAGCAAAGGTTACTCTGCTCCCTCTTTTCCTGAGTCCAATTCTCCAAGACGAGAAAATGAAAAATAGGAAAAAATATTTTATAAAAATAAAAACACTCAACAAAATTCAACATGCAGTAAGGTTGCCAATAGCAGAAACCATTACACCAGAGCAAAAAAGGGAGGCAAGAGAGAAAACTGTCTCTGCATAACTAAATCAGAATAAGAGGAACACAGAGAATTACAAGTTAGATATCACTTCCTGAAGGGCCATCTCAAGGTATTGTTGATTGAAATTACAATATTTGAGTGAACATACAAGCAAAGAGATGTCCTTAAACTATATGTATCATAGAAGTGTGTCAGGGGAAAATAGACTGGGAAGGAACCCACCCAAAAATACCATCCTGGCAAGAAACATCCAGGATGATGGAGAAACTTCGGGGAGTGTGCAGCTCTTCAGTTAAAGGCTTGGCTGCCAAAAGAAGAAAATGCCACGTTATCACACCATGAGCCTAAGAAAGAAGACTGAGAACTATGGGGACTAATTACTACTTCAAGGGCAGAGAAATTCTGAAACCGCTGAAATAATGTTTAATCTGGGCTCTTACGCTCATTAAATTTTCCCCTCTCTAAAAACACTTTCACAAACAGCTGATCCATGGAGAACAGCCTCCACTCAGGGGAGAGTGAAACTGAGAAAGAACTAAGCAAAGCATCTAGGCCAAGACATCCCCAAAACAAAAGGCCAGCAACAGAAAAACAAAATTATATCACACAGTAGATCACATTTTGTAGATAAACAGTGCAAACAAAGAACAATAAAAATTACAGCCTCTGTGAAATAGCTGCTCAAAAAACCAATGATAGGCAATGAAAACTGAGCAAACCAATTTCAAGAACAAAACTGAAAGAGAAAAGGAAGACATGTAATGAGAATTCAATTAGTATTAGCCTAAATAGGGGTGATTGGTCAAAGGTCTGAAAATATACAAAATCCAGTTAGAAATGAGCAGAGTACAAAGAAATAGAAATAAAATTAGAGCTATAGAAAGTAGTATGTAACAAACCAGTGTTTTAGATAAGAGAATAAATAAACCTAGAAAAAATTTACATATATAATCAAAGAGAAAACATTAAAATGAAGGAAGACCTGTATTAACACCTTAAAGAGACTCGTCTCAATGGGCAGCAGGGAGGGGGATTATTAATTCAGGCTAATCAGGATCACTGAGTTACTGAGCTTCAATGACAAAGAATTCTAAGGGAATTTAAGTAAAAGATTAAGTCACCTATAAAAAGGATTTAAAATTTTAGTTCAACTCAGACTTAGCAATAACAACATTCCAGGCAAAAAACTGAGGAGCAATCTTTATAGTGTTCTTGAGACTGTATCAGAAAACATGGCAAATATTTGACTCCCTGTGTGTGCCAACCTGGCATTCAGGGTACACAAGTAACAGATACCTATTATCAAATAAGCAAAACTCAGTAAGTAAAGTACACAATACTCCTTCCAGAGAATAAACTGTAACCAACTAAGGTATGCATTGAGGGTTTTTTGGTTAAAATTAGTGATGAACAATGACTCCAAAAACTACAGTGCCTGAGTTTAACTATGATTGTTGCTGAAAACAACACAAATGTTAAAAATTAGAAACAAATATAAACTATAGTAAAATTAGAGATAACCTAAATGAGGTGAAATGAAAGTAAAGAGGCTTTCTCAATGTGTATAATGTGAGTAGGTTTATGATTTAAGTTAAAAATACTTAAGTATACCACTTAACAGCTAAAATAACTAAAATGATAATAAAACCAGAAAATTTGTAAGTAGAGGAAGAGTAGCCTGGAGAAGGTTTGTGTGTGCCAATTATTGTCTCTTTGTTATTCAGAAGTCAAGTTAAACCGGTTGTATTAGGCCGTTCTTGTGTTGTTATAAAGGAATACCTGAGACTGGGTAATTTATAAGAAAAGCTATTTAATTGGCTCATGGTTCTGCAGACTGTACAGACATGGTGCCAGCATCTGCTCAGCTTCTAGGGAGGAGTTTTGCTGAAGCAGAAGGCAAAGTCGGGGGAGGGATGTCACATGGAGAGAGCAGGAGCAAGAGAAAGAAGAGAAGGAGGAGGCCCCAGACTTTTAAAGAACCAGATCTTATGTGACCTAAGTGAGCGGGAACTTACTTATCAACAAGGGGATGGCACTAAACCATTCATAAGGGATCCACCTCCATGATCCAATCACCTCCCTCCAGGTCCCACCTCCAACACTGGGGATTACATTTCAATATGACATTTGTCAGGGACAAATATCCCAACTATGTCATGGGTTAAATTTTAAAACTCAAAAAATACAGTTTTAAGTATAAAATATAGAATTTTAAATATAACCACTAGAAAAGTAAAAATACATTATATAGAAACAACATCAGAAATGAAAAAAAATCAGATATATAATGAAAGCTAAAAGAGATAGAAATATTAAAAATTGAAAGCCTATATATGTGAATGGCAAATATATACATAGCAGGGGCTACAATATTATTGTTAAAATAGGTTCTAAAGGAATGATTGATAGAAAAAAAGTGCTAAGCAGATTCACTGTGCACTGGATACCACCTCAGTTCACTGCATCTTGGGCTGACATTTCTACTACTTGCACTAGTCCTTTGATAACACTTATACAAATTAAGCGAAGCACCTTTATTATTCACAAATAGGCAGCAAGGGACAGTAGAAACCTGGGATTCAGGTAAGCCAGACTTCCAAGACTCAGGAAGCTAAACAAGGCAGATGAACTCTCATCTGTGTGGCCCAATTTGCACTCCAGCTCAGGGAATTCAGAAAGCAGTCTTCGTGGGCTTTGTACTCTAGGGAAAACATGACATGCTGGGCCAATGCATTGAAGGACATCCTGTTTCTGGGAAGAACTAGAACACAGCCTGAGCTCTCTTGGCTAGTCTCTCCTTATCTCAGGATGTTGCATTCTCAGCACATTTTAAAATTATTATTGAAAACTACAAGCAATAAAAAGGGAAAAACTGGATTGGACCAAGGCCACCCAGAGAACTGCCCTGCAAAAAGTAATTTATAATGTACAATCTTTAATGAAAATGGAAGGACCATAGTATTTTTTTAATGGAGGTAAATTCACGTTACATAATTTTCATGTATTTAAACTGTATAGTTCAGTAACATTGAGTACATTCTCAGCGTTGTACAATGATCACATCTGTCTAGTTGCAAAACATTTTCATCACACCCAAGGGCAACCTCGTGCCAATTATGCAGTCACCTTCTAGTCCCAACTAGCCTGATTTCTCTAGCATTTATGTATTTGGGAAATTCTAAATAGGTGGAATCAAATAATACATGTCCTTTTGTGGTGAGCTTCTTTCACTCAGCATAACGTGTTGAAGGTTCATCCATGTTGCAGCCCATGTCATCACATCATTCCTTTTTTATGGCTGAATAATATTTCATTAGATAGATATACCATATTTTATTTATACTTTAATATATTGGGGTACATTTGGGTTGTTTCCACCTTTGGCTATTTTGACTAGTGCTGCTGTATACATTGCGTCATGCATTTGAATACTTGTTCTTAGTTTTTTGGGCTATATATCTAGAAGTAGAATTGACCATTCATATGGTAATTTTCCGTTCAAAGTTTAAGGACTCACCAAACTGTTATCCCCAGTGGTTTCACTATTTAAAATTCCCACCACCAGAATAGGCTTCAAATCTCCACATCCTCACCAATGCTTGTAATTTTCCTTTTTTTTTTTTTGATGATTACCATCTTAATGAATGTGATGTTGTATCTCATTATGGTTTTTTATTTTCATTTTCCAAATGATGACTGATGTTGAGCATCTTTTCATGTGTGTTTTTTGTATCTACTTTGGAGTATTGTGTACCTCAGAATGTTGCCCATTTTTAAAATTAGGCTATTTGTCTTTTTGTGCTCAATCACAAGAGTATTACACATATTAAAAGTACTTGACCCTTATCATATATATGATTTGCAAATATTTCCACCAACTCTATAAGTTGTCTATGATAGTGTTATTTGATGCACAAAAGTTTTTAATTTTGATTAACTCCATATTATCTATTTTTCTGTTTTGTTGAAATGCTTTTGATTTTATATTAATTGCAAAATCCAAGGTAATGAAGATTTTCCCCTATATTATCTTCTAAGAGTTTTACATTTTTACCTCTGATATTTAAACCTTTGGTCTATTTGAGTTAATTTTTGTATACAGTGTGAAATAGGGGCCTAAACTTATTCTTTTGCATGTGGTTATCTAGTTGTCCCACCACCATTTGTTGAATAGACTATTATTTTTTGATGAATGATGTTGACATCCTTGTTGAATATCAATTGAACATAGATGTATGGATCTAATTGCTTGAATTTCAATCATGTTCCATTGCTTTGTCTTTTTTATCCTGATGTTAGTACCACATCTTCTTCATTATTGTATATTTTGTAGCAAGTTTTAAAATTAGAGAGTGTGAATCTTCCAACTTTAGTCTTTTTTGTCAAGATTGTTTTGGCTGTTTGTGGTATCTTGGAATTACATATGAAATTTAGGCTCAGGTTTTCCATTCTCCAAAAAAAAAAAACTGTTATAATTTTAAGACAGATTGCACTGAATATGTTGATAGTTTTAAGAAATATTGCCATTTTAAAAACACAAAGTCTTTTAATTCATAAACACACATGTCTTCATTTATTTAGGTCTTCTTTAATTTCTTTTAGTAATCATTACCAGTTTCAGGGTGCAAGCCTTGCATCTTATTGAATAAATGTATTCCTAAAATATTTTTGATGCTATTGTAAATAGATTTTTAAATTTCATTTTCAGATTGTTCACTGCTGGGGTATAGGAATAAAACTGATTTTGTGTGTTAATCTTGTATCTTGAAATTCTGCTAAATTTGTTTATTACTTCTGTATTTTGAAGTTCTTTTATAGCTTCATTGGATGGTTCAGAGAAGATAGCTAAATTCAAATTCTAGCTCCACCAATTACTAGCTATGTGATCTTGGGCCAGCCACATAAGTTCTGAGTATCTCAATTTCCTCAAATTTAAAATGCACCTAATAGCACCTATTGAATAACCATTGAATATTAGCACTTACTTCAATGGTTACTACTAGAATTAAGTACTATTTATAAAGAACTTTTAATTAAGTCAAGCACATAGTGAGCATTATACATGTGTTAAATAATTGAAGAGCATTAAAATTAATAAAGAACACTCTAGAAAAATATAGAGGTAATTAACACACCAGGGAATTATATTTACCTATTAGCCAATAATAGACAAAATAGCTCCAATACAATTAAGTATATAGAGGAGCTGAATAACATTTGCATAGCAGGATACAAATATACAGATATATGTTATGTATTTCTAATACTTAAACTGTACACAGAATAACCTTTGCAATCGCTCAAGAAGTATTTTTATTTGTGTATGTATATTGCCAGGATTACCTAAAAGTTTTTACTAATGAAATAATAAAAACCACTTTTAGCAAAAATAGAAATTGGAAACAGACCAAAAAATAGATAAAACAGCAACCAGATGTTTAAAACCTATCTGTCGGCCGGGTGTGGTGGCTCACGCCTGTAATCCCAGCACTTTGGGAGGCCGAGGCAGCCAAACCACCTGAGGTCGGGAGTTTGAGACCAGCCTGACCAACATGGAGAAACCCTGTCTCTACTAAAATACAAAATTAGCTGGGCATGATGGCGCATGCCTGTAATCCCAGCGACTCAGGAGGCTGAGGCAGGAGAATCACTTGAACCCGGAATGTGGAGGTTGCAGCGAGCCAAGATTGTGCCATTGCCTGGGCAACAAGAGTGAAACTCTGTCTCAAAATAAAATAAAATAAAAATAAAAAAATGAAAACCTATATGTTAAAAAATTCTAGCTCATAAAAAAATAAAAACATGAATATAAAAGAAATAACAAGAGTGAAATACTAGTAGTCAGATCTTTTTTTACACTGATAAAAATGTTCAGACAAAAAATTAATAAGATTCTACACCCAAGTTACAAGAAAATATATGTAAACTAAGATGTTCATTGAGTTTATGAAATCATTATAAGAATAGAAAAATAAAGAAATGGAGAAGAAAATAATTGACAAATAAAAGTAAAAAATTTATAAAATGGAAATCAGGGAAAAGGACAAAATTTAAGCACAAATGATATTAGAAAAGTAAATGGCAAAATATAAAAACTTATTTTTTATTATTTTACATTTTAAAACCATTTTATTGAGATATAATTAACATTAAGAAAACTGTACATACTCAATATGCACATCTTGATGAGCCTGGGAATAAGTATACCCATGAAACCATCACCATCATCAAAATTATAACCAAATCTATCACTTTCTAGAGTTTCCTCAGGCCTCTTTTATTATTACTATCGTTTTTTTGAAAACCAAACATAAGATCTACTTTCCTAGTAAGTTTAAATACACAATACAGTATTGTTAGCTATAGGCATTATGTTGTATAGCAGAGCTCCAGAACTTATGTATCTTGCATAGCTGAAACTTTGTATACTTTAACCATTTTCTTCCCGTTTCCACTTCTCCCAGGCCCTGGCAACCACCATTTTTCTACTCTTTGCTTCTCTGAGTTTGAATATTTTAACTTCTACATAGGAAAGACATTATACAGTATTTATCTTTCTGTGTCTGTTTTATTTCACTTAATATAATGCCCTCCAGTTCATCTGCGGTATCACAAATGGCAGAATTTTACCATAATTTAGTATATGCCATGATTACTTCATTCATTCATCCATGGATAAACATTTAGGTTGTTTCTACATCTTGGATATTGTGAATAATACTTCAATAAACATGGGAGTTCAGCAAACTATTCAGTATCCTGATTTCAATGACTTTGGATTTGAACCCAGAAATGGGATTGCTGGGTCATATGGTAGCCCTATTTTTAACTTTTCGAGGAATCTTCATATTGCTTTTTATAACAGTTATACCCATTTACATTCCCACCAACACTGGACAAGTGTTCTTCTTTGTTTGCATCCTTTGCTTTTCTTAATAACAGTCATTCCAACGCGTGTGAGGTCATAGCTCATCAAGGTTTTGATTTGTATTTTCCTTATGATTAGTGATTTTGAGCATTTTTTAATATAACGATTGGCCACTTGTATATGCTCTTTTGAAAAACGTCTCTTCAGGTCCTTTGCTCATTTTTATATGGGTTATTTGGATTTTTTGCTATTCAGTTGTATGAGCTCCTTCTGTATTTCGGATGTTAACCCCTTAGCAGAATTACAGTTTGCAAAGGAGAAAAGTATATAACTTAGTAAGTGCTAAAAAAAAGAGAGTTGCTGTTATAAATCCATTAATGAAAACAAACGCAGACATACAGACACTCTACCTAAAATCAGGGTGAATATTGCAATAGTTTGTGACATTTTTAAGGAACAACTTGCTGGTAAATAAAAACTTTAAAAACATAATCTCGACAATATCAGCATCACGAAAACACAAATTATTTTTTAAGTATTTAAAATATTCTGGTATTAACAAGTAGTCTAATTATGCATACAGTATATAAATAAGAATATATTTGGCAGATGATGTTATTGCATTTCTGCAAAATTCTGAGGAATCAACCAGAATATAATCAGAAACTGTAAGAAACTCTATTAACACATATAGCTATACAATCAATAAGAATGTCAATTATTTGTATATAGAACAAACAAATCTAATGAGAAATGACTTCATTCGTAACAGAAAGAAGAAAAATGAGAGGAATAAAGGAGAAAAAAGAAAGAAAGAAAGAAAGAAAGAAAGAGAAAGAAAGAAAGAAAGAAAGAAAAAGAAAGAGAGAAAGAAAGAGAATGGAAAAAGAGCTGACATATATAATTGCAATGTATTTAAGACATATGCAGAATTATACAGTAGTCCCCCCTTTATCTGTATTATTGCCTTCTGTGATTTTAATTGCCCATAGTACAGTACAATAAGATTTTAAAATAGAGAAAGAACACATTTATATAACTTTATCACAGTACATTGTTATAAATGTTCTATTTTATTATTATTGCTGTTAATTTCTCACTGTGCCTAACTGATAAATTAAACTTCATTATAGGCATGTATATATAGCAAAAAGCATAGTATGTTTAGGGTTTGGTACTATCTGTGGTTTCAGGCATCCCCTTGGGGTCTTGGAACGTATCCCCTGAGAAAAAGGGGGAACTGCTATATAAAGGAAATATGAAAATTTTTTGTAGGACATAAAGTAAAACTTAAATAGATCCATGAAACTTGTTTATTTTATTAGAAGTCCTTAATATTTAAATATGTCATTTCTCCTCTAAATTATTTTGAGGTTTAATAGTATCAAATAGTTTTTGACACTCAACAGTTCTAATATTAAAGTTATTCACAAAAAAATTCAAAATGATTTAAAAGGCCAGAGTATTCTGAAAAAAAAATTATTTAAGGGGATATAGTTTTACCACATAAAGAAAAATATTATAAAACTTTAATAATTAAAATAGGTTTATATTGGCACATAAATGGGTAGCAACATTAATGACACCATTAGAAAACTGAGAAATACACATGAACAGAGAAATATAATATCTGATCAATTAAGATTCTGAATTAATGAAGAAAATATGAGTGCTGTACCAATGTTGCAATATAGACTAAGAAATGTTAAACATTAATTGCAAATGAATCAAATATTTAAATATTAAATTTTTCATCTATAATAGTGCTAGAAGAAAACAATATTTTAAAATAATTTCTAATTGAGGAAATCCTGTAAAAGCAAAATAATTATTTTAGACAGAAACATGTCACTTATAAAGTCAAAAAGAGAAGTAATATTTAACCATGTAATTGCAGATAGTAATAGTATATTCTTTTTTACTGCTGTATAGTATACAATAGCTTGAATATAATACTTATTTTACATTTGGTTGCTTCCAGTTGTTGGCTTTTATGAGTAAACATGTTATGGACATTCTTTTATCTGTCTTTTGGTGAACATGTACACTCATTGATAACAATCCTTGTTACCAATCCAGTATTGGCAAACTTTTTATTTACTCATTGATGTTTCTGTGTTGATATCTCCATGTGGTTTACTTTGCATGTTTATGATTACTAATGATGTTGACAATCTTTTATATAATTATTGTCTGTTTTGATGTATTGTTTTGTGATGTATCTCAAGTCTTCTGACTATTTAGTATTTGGATTTTCTGTCTTTTACTATTCGTTTTGTATTAGTATGTTTTCACAGTGCTGATAAAGACATACCTGAGACTAGGCAATTTAAAAAAGAAAGTGGTTTAATGGACTTACACTTCCATGTGGCTGGGGAGGCCTCACAATCATGGCAGAATGTGAAAGGCAAGGAGGAGCAAGCCATGTCTTATATGGATGGCAGCAGGCAAAGAAAGAGAGCTTGTACAGGGAAACTCCCATTTTTACAACCATCAGATCTTGTGAGACAGACTCACTCACTATCATGAGAACAGTACAGAAAAGACCTGCCCCCATAATTCAATCACCTACCACAGGATTCCTCCCATGACACATGGGAATTATGGGAGTTACAATTTAAGCTGAGATTTGGGTGGGGACACAGCCAAAGGAGTGCATTATATAATCTCATTATAAGTCCTTTTCCAGTTGTATGTATTGTAAATGTCTTCTTCCAATCCTTGGCTTCCTTTCTATTTTTTTAATGATGTCTTTTAATAAACAAAAAGTCTTATATTAAATAAAGCTTATTTCAGTTATCTATTGCTGTGTAACTACTTACCACAAAAAATGAGTAATTAAAACATTGCATTATTTACTCATAATTTTGCATTTTGGAGAGAGCATGGTAGTCTTTGATAGCTGAACTTCTTATATGGCAGTTTGCTTCCCATAGCACAAAAGAGGCACAATGTCATATCCTCTGCATTCTATTGATTTAATCATACCATATTGTGATAATTGTGCAAAGACAGGTACAAAAATTTTCATTGTAGCATTGTTTGTATTAGCAAATCCCTGGAAATAAGTCAAATGTTCATTAATATACCACTCAATAAATGTATTATAATACATTTGTTTAATGTAATATGATCTTATTTAGTGTAATATGATCTTATTTGTGTAATGTAATATGATCTTATTTAATGATGTGGAATGAGTCAAAATTTATGCTGTCTTACTAACTGAAAATAGAGCTCAGCATAAGTTAAAATTTATATATAACATGATCTATTTTTTGTTAAAAATATAAATGTGTTTGTGCATATTCATAGGATAATTCTGGGAGGATGCAAAAGCTAATAGTGATGATATTTACATATCAAAAAGGGCCCTGTAGAATCTTGTACAGAAAAGAAACTTACATTTAATTGTCTTTTAATTTTTTCTTCATATGCATATATTAATTTTCTACTGGAATATTAGAATTTAAAATAGACAAATGTAACATTTTAACATATGAACATTAGCAAATTGTCTTAGCTCAAGCCATCAGAACACAAAACACAGACTGGGTGGCTTACACCACAGACATTTATTTTTCACAGTTCTGGTGACTAAACTCTGATATCAGAGTACCAGCATGGTTGGGTTTTAGTGAGGCCTCTCTTCCTGGCTTGCAGATGGCTGCCTTCTAACCGTGTGCTCGTATAGGGCTATGAAAGAAATCTGGTGTCTTTTCCTTGTCTTATAAGGGCATTAATTCCATCATGAGTCCCCTACCCTCATGATTTTTTACCTAAAGCAAATTACTTCCCAAAGACATCAGCTTCAAATACCATAACGTTGGGGGTTAGGGCTTTACCGTATGAATTTTGGGGAGAACACAAACATTCAGTTCATAAGACAAATGGTGCTACATGTTTGCATGTGTGTGTATATGCACATATATGTTTATAAACATATATATAACAGTGTATATAACAACATATATCTAACAAAATGTTGCCATTTTTTGTTTTACTTTTACAATGTAAAGTTATGCCTATATACTTCTGAATACACAAAGGAAGAAAAAAATGGATGGTGATAATGAAAACAAGATGAGAATCCCAGAAGATTTTCAGAATAATCAGACATACCCTCAAGCAAAAAATGAATTACTCTGACATGTTTTAATGGCTTTAGGAAGTTATAGAGCTCTTTGAAATTAGCATATGGATACACTGGAATTTATATTGAGTTGCATGTGAAAACATCCACAAAATAGTGCATACATTTCCTGATGTCACAGAATATGAGATAGGCGTGATATAGGTGCATCACTGTATCTCCTAAGACAGTATTCTTTAGGAGTGTAGTTTGGTTACTAATACGGTTTGGCTGTGTTCCCACCCAAATCTCATCTCGAATTATAGCTCTTATAATCCCCACGTAATGTGGGAGGGACCCAGTGGAAGTTAATTGAATCATGGGGGCAGGTTTTTCCCATACTGTTCTCATGATAGTGAATATGTCTAAAAAATCGGATAGTTTTATAGAGGGCAGTTACCCTGCACATGCCGTCTTGCCTGCTCGATGTAAGACATGACTTTGCTCCTCATTCACCTTCTGCCACGATTGTGAGGCCTCCCCAGCCATGTGGAACTGTGAGTCAATTAAACTTCTTTTATTTATAAATTACTCAGTCTCTGGCATGTCTTTATTAGCAGTGTGAGAACAAACTAATACACTTAATTTTCTTCATTGTGGAAATTTAACCTTGACTTAACCCCAAAGGAACCGCACAGTCTTGTGTTCTATATGCCACATTGTATCACATGGGAATTAATGAAGATGTGAACAGATATTTTTAAGACACTTATGAGATTTATTTACTTGTTATATAAAAATATAATCATTAAAATACAGTAGTCTTTGAGGTTTCATGTTAACTTCCAGTTTCTCTACAAGAATCTGGCGTAAACACTGGCCAGTCTTCAATATTTTCTTGTGGTATTTTCCATTCTTATCTTCCTAGTATATAATTATGTTAATCCAGTTTATTATTTTATTCATCTTTATCAAAATGTCAGGTCATTTCTTACTGCATAACACACAACAAAGCTCTATGCTCCATCATAGAGGCTTTAATTATTACTTTACACCTAATTTTTGAGTCAGTCTCAAAATCAGCTCTAAAAATTATAAAACATTTGTTTTTCTCCATGCTGCCTAGAATTTCCCAATAAGCAGACATTAATATTGATGAGATCTGTACAGTATAGTACTACTGTATCAATATAGTTTCCTCCAATAGATTGGTTTTTAATCATTTAAGAATTCGGTGGGTTGGGGAAAAGGGAACAGCAGGGGCATGTTAGTGATTTTTTTTTAAATACAGAAAACTTGTAATATGACTTAGTATTCAGATAAAATTGTTGAAAATGCAGATTTGAAAAGTAAACAAAAGCCGTAAGTTTAGCCTGAAGCAGAGCTATGAGGCACGCTAGGAAAGAAATGCCTTCTGTGGACATTTGCCTCTGGGCAAAATCTTTTGTTACAGCTGCTACAGGAGCAACTGAGTCACTAACTAGCCTCTGTGAGCAATTGCAAAATGCTAAGGTTTGACTTCTTATCCCTCTTTCTCTGTAACCTCTCTCTAGAGTTCGGTGAGAAAAATAAAGTTATAGCCTTGGGAAAGAAAATTGTTCACATTCTACAGCTTTCAACTTCAGAAATTCTGAGCCAGCACGTACATGTTGCAGAGGTTTTGATTAGAAATTAAGAGAATAAAATCAATCATTTTGTTTCCTGTGATCCTTTGTGCTTACAGTAACATTATATTTACTTGCTATATGATAAAGTCATTGCAGCTGAGTGAACCAGAAAAGTCTAGACTCAAAAAGCCAGACCAAAATTATGATGTAAAGTCAGATGTCAAAATGAACTTTCACTTTTTTCATTGCTTCACATATTTTATTTACTGTAGTGAACATATATAATATGAATACATAAATGTCACATCTTGTCTCTTCATTGAAAAGAATATGCTCTAGCTCCAGGCTGCTGAAAAGAAAATTAGTAAAATGGTAACATAGTTACTTCAGTTTAAACAAAGAAGCTGAGTGTTTTGATGCTGTTTTTATTATTTAATGAGGAAAAAAATCTATTTTATGCTTTGGTTACTCTGCATTGCAAATGTGAAAATTGATGTTGAGAGCCAATTGAAATGGTAAATTATAAATAAAATAATTGTGATACAACTTCAAACAAAAATTACCAAGGCAAATCAAGTAAGAGCAGCTTCATGAAGTATGTAGGGTGTTATGAAGGCACTTACAGAATTAATTGCCTCATTCTGAATTATAAAACTGTGTGTAAGCGCATTGCTTACATAGCTAAGAAAGGTGATTCTCAAAACAATGGTGTAAATGTTTAAATCGTATATTCAGTCCATAAAGTAAAGCAAGTATAATACTCATGAAAAAATGTCTTCCACCTTTGACATGAGAATGTATGTCCTTTTAGCATCTTATTTATTTTATTATTATTTTATGACAGACCTATTAAATAAGAATTAAAAATAAAGAATTACAAAACCAATCTATTTCAGCAGTAAGTTGAATATCACATTATATTGACAAACAGTCCTGTATATGCTACTTTCCTAGCTATATGGTTTTTTTTTTTTTTTTTTTTTTTTTTGAGACGGAGTCTCGCTCTGTCGCCCAGGCTGGAGTGCAGTGGCGGGATCTCGGCTCACTGCAAGCTCCGCCTCCCGGGTTCACGCCATTCTCCTGCCTCAGCCTCCCAAGTAGCTGGGACTACAGGCGCCTGCCACTACGCCCGGCTAATTTTTTTGTATTTTTAGTAGAGACGGGGTTTCACCGTTTTAGCCGGGATGGTCTCGATCTCCTGACCTCGGGATCCGCCCGCCTCGGCCTCCCAAAGTGCTGGGATTGCAGGCGTGAGCCACCGCGCCCAGCCATAAAATATCTTGAGGAAGATAAAAGGGACCATTAATTACAAAAACCAATGCCCAGTGCAACTCTACGAAACAAACGAGTCTATACAAATCTATGATTTTAGAAGAGTCTATAGATCAGTTAATATGGAGATGAGCTGAGAAAGAATAAAGGAAAGAGCACAAGACTCAGAGAAGAGAATTAAGCTGGGCATGATGGCGTGCACCTGTAATCCCAGCTATTCAGGAGGCTGAGGCAGGAGAATCACTTGAACATGGGAAGTGGAGGTTGCAGTGAGCTGAGATCACACCACTGCGCTCCAGCCTGGGTGACAGAGTGAGACTCGGTCTCAAAAAAAAAAAAAAAAAAAAAAGAAGAAGAAGAAGAGGAAGAACAAAGAAAACAGATATACAGACCAGTGCAACAGAACAGACGCCTCAGAAATAACGCCACACATCTACAACCATCTGATCTTTGACAAAAACAAGCAATGGGGAAAGGATTTCCTGTTTAATAAATGGTGTTGGGAAAACTGGCTAGCCAATGCAGAAAACTGAAACTGGACCCCTTCCTTACACCTTATACAAAATGGATTAAAGTCTTAAACATAGGCCTAAAACTATAAAAACCCTAGAAGAAAACCTAGGCAATACCATTGAGGACATAGGCATGGGCAAGGACTTCATGACTAAAACACCGAAAGCAATGGCAGCAAAAGCCAAAATTGACAAATAGGATCTAATTAAACTAAAGAGCTTCTACATAGCAAAAGAAACTATCATCAGAGTGAACAGGCACCTACAGAACGGGAGAAAATTTTTGCAATCTACCCATCTGACAAAGGGCTAATATCTAGAATCCACAAAGAACTTAAACAAATATACAAGAAAAAAAATAACATCAAAAAATGGGCAAAGGATATGAACAGACACTTCTCAAAAGAAGACATTTATGCAGCCAACAGACACATGAAACAAAAAGCTCATCGTCACTGTTCATTAGAGAAATGCAAATCAAAACCACAATGAGATACCATCTCACGCCAGTTAGAATGGCGATCATTAAAAAGTCAGGAAACAACAGATGCTGGAGAGGATGTCGAGAAATAGGAGCACTTTTACACTGTTGGTGGGAGTGTAAATTAGTTCAACCATTGTGGAAGACTGTGGTGATTCCTCAGGGATCTAGAACCAGAAATACCATTTGACCCAGCAATCCCATTACCCAAAGGATTATAAGTCATTCTACTATAAAGACACATGCCCAGCACTATTCGCAAGAGCAAAGACTTGGAACCAACCTAAATGCCCATCAATGATAGACTGGATAAAGAAAATGTGGCACATATACACTATGGAATACTATGCAGCCATAAAAGAGGATAAGTTCATGTCCTTTGCAGGGACATGGATGAAGCTGGAAAACATCATTCCCAGCAAACTAACACAGGAACAGAAAACCAAACACTTCATTTTCTCACTCATAAGTGCGAGTTGAACAATGAGAACACATGGACACAGAAAAGGGAGCAACACACACTGGGGCCTGTCAGTGGGTGGTGGGCTAGGGCGCTAGGGGAGGGATAGCATTAGGAGAAATATCTAATGCAGATGATGGGTTGATGGGTGCAGCAAACCACCATGGCACATGTATACCTATGTAAAAAACCTGCACATTCTGCACATATATCCCAGAACTTAAAGTGAAAAAAAAGGAAAAGAAAGAAGGGAAGGGAAGGGAAAGGAAGGGAAGGGAAGGGAAGGGAAAGGAAGGGAAGGGAAAGGAAGGGAAGGGAAGGGAAAGGAAGGGAAGGGAAAGGAAGGGAAGGGAAGGGAAGGGAAGGGAAGGGAAAGGAAGGGAAGGGAAGGGAAAGGAAGGGAAGGGAAGGGAAGGGAAGGGAAGGGAAGGGAAAGGAAGGGAAGGGAAGGGAGGAAGGGAGGAAGGGAGGAAGCACTGAATAACCATAAAAGGAAATTTTGTTTATGCTGTGCCCTATGCTTTGAATACATAATATCTAACCTCCCTACATCACTGCAGTGTGGGTTCTATTAAGCAATTATATAGCTAGGGTAGGCTGTCCTCAATAAAATTTAAAAACCGGCCTTCAGTTTCTGTATCACTTGGCATTTGAAGGCAAGTCTTTGACTTAAGCCTGTGTGCATTTCTTGCTGCTGGGCTGTTGTTACTCAAGTTTAAGAGAAGGCTCCTCCAGCTAGTAGATGAAAACAGAATTCTCTCATACAGAAAGAACCTGATCTGGGAGTAATTTGACAACAAACTCTGATACATACTGTGTACCAAGATACTGAAAGAAGCCAGGTGCGGTGGCTCACGCCTCTAATCCCAGCACTTTGGGAGGCCAAGATGGGTGGATTACCTGAGGTCAGGAGTTCGTGACCAGCCTGGCCAACAAGGTGAAACCCCATCTCTACTGAAAAAAAAAAAAAAAATTTAGCCCGCGTGATGGCTCATGCCTGTAATCCTCCCAACTACTCAGAAGGCTGAGGCAGAAGAATCACTTGAACCCAGGAGGCACAGGTTGCAGTAAGCCGAGATCGCACCACTGTACTCCACCCTGGGTGACAAGAGCGAGACTCTGTCTCAAAAAAAAAGATACTGAAAGAAGTTTCAGATAAAGCCATGAGATGGTTTGCATTTCTGTTGGATGAATCATGAGAAAAAGAAAAGATGTAGCTTGTTTTCAAAAAGAAGACTATATCACATTCTGCAAATCATAAACGGATGTGATTATACGATCCTGGACAAGGTTCTTGAATTAGATATTTAAAATTTATGTGCTTAGAAAATAAACCCATTAACAGTAATATTAATGGGTTCAGTTAGTATATGCCATTATGACTAATCTAATTGTCTTTTCTTACATGGATTTAGCAAGGCATTTGTCTAAGGTTTTCATGTAGCCTAATGGATAGGAAAAGAAATGTAGGTTACACACAGAAATTTAGAGAGACATTTGTTCATTATATTTTAATCAATAATATGAACAAAGATATTGAATACATTTTACAAAATTTATAAATAATAGAAAATGGTCATAAGTAATTAGAATCTAGATAAATTTTAATGTAACAGAGTGATCAGCTTAGTTACATGACTTCAGAGTGGGCAAATATAAACTCTTGCATTTGCTTCCAAAAGATGGAAGAAAGTGGTAATTTGATTTAGCAACAATGTCTGGGAAGTGGGGACACATGGATCTGAATAAAAGTTAAGCTCAGTATCAATCTCAATTGATAATATACTGGTACTATGTGCTAACCTATCTGACCTACCTTAACCAAATGGTAGTTGTTAAATTTTAATGTTAATTAAAATTACTTGCCATGTTTGTTAGATTGCAGAATTTCAGAATTATTGATTTGGGTCCAAAATAACCAAAACTTTTCTCATTGCAGAGCTATCAAAAGATGAAAGAAATTGCCTCTGGAGACTTTGTATTCTCAATTATTTTAGCTTTCAAAAATGCAAACTCTTGTGAGAATAGATCCAAATAAACAATCTGCAAATAGCAAAGGATATATATATATATATATCCATATTTTTTAAAGCACTTTAGAAGTAACCACTTATATATAATTGATGTACTATTTATAGATAATTAATGCAGCTTAATATAACCTCAGAGTCCTCAAAATATTAGGGCTCGGGACCCCTTCACATGTTTAAATCCTATTCAGGACCTCAAAGAGCTTTTTAAAATGTGGATTATAGCTATCAATATTAACCATATAAAAATTAAAGCAAACAATGTAAATGTATTAATTCAATGAACTATAACAATAGCTCTGTTATGTTTAACACAAATAACATTTTACAAAATATAGCTCTATTTTTCCAACACAAAAGTTAGTGACAAAACTTATTTTTAAAATATCTGTGTATGGCTGACTCATTGGAATACAGCTGGATCATTATATCTGCTACTATATTCAATCTGTTACATTTCATTGTTTTGATTGAAATATATGAAGAAAATCTGACCTCCCACAATATCACAGATGGAAAATAAAGGACTATATTTAGTAGCTTTTCCAGATAATTGTGTATATTCTCCTTTATGTCAAAACTCAATAAGTGGTAGTATTTAAGGTTATTGGCAATATGAAATTTAAACAGTATCAATTAATTTTTTGTTTCCTATTAAGGCAAAATCCATTGATCTATCTTGCATTTTTCAATAGCTAGATTACCCATAAACAATTTCGTAATATCATGCATTAGTCATTTGGAAAATATTGTTTCACTCAACAATGCAGTTCTTCCAAATGTTGATACATTTTATTAGAGAGTATAAATAAACCACATTCATTAATAGTAGTACCACTCTCATCAGAAAAATCTAGTAGTATTGGGAAGGTAAGAAGATTTGGATATGAGATTTTTAAATTTTTAACTTGAACTTCAAATTCAAAGTTTTTATTGCCAACAAATATTGTCAGTAGTTTTTCTTGAAGTAATAGTTTTACTGCATATATTTTTTGAGATAGTGTCTGCCAAATACCCAAATTTGGATAAACTTAATTTGTACAGCAGTTGTTTTTAGGTAAAACACAGTGTTTCATTTTTTTAAAAAATTGTCATTTTGGAAAGTTCACATTTCAAACAATTGTCTCTCTTTTGGACGATTATCATACTATAATATTTAGCAGAAGTATTTTATATGTACTTCTTAGTCATACAGATTAATAATAAGATGTACACTCACAGGTAGAGATTTTTAATTAATACGTTTTACTGTTTCATGAAGCACAATCTTAAGTAAACTGCTTTTTTTGTTTGTTTGTTTGTTTGTTTTTTTGAGACAGAATCTCGCTCTTGTTGCCCAGGTTGGAGTGCAATGGTGTGATCTCGGCTGACCGCAACCTCCACCTCTGGTGTTCAAGTGATTCTCCAGCCTCAGGCTCCCGAGTAGCTGGGCATGCGCCACCACGCACAGCTAATTTTGTATTTTTATTAGAGACAGGGTTTCTCCATGTTGGTCAGGCTGGTCTTGAACTCTCAACCTCAGGTGATCCGCCTGCCTCGGCCTCCCAAAGTGCTGGGATTACAGGCGTGAGCCACAGTGCCCAGCCAAACTGCATTTTTACCCCTGCAAATGCATGGTGATAAAGAACACAACAACTACTAGCACACTTTGATACCCTTGCCTTGGTTCATGCTAAGGTACATGAAGTTTCACCTATCTTTGCTTTTTGCACCATCAGTGCAAATGCAACATAGTGAAATGAGGCAAATAATGTCTCAGTGTTATTATGAAAATCATTTTGACCCCACAAATCCCCGAAAATTCTTATGGTACCCTGGAATTCTGCAAAACACACTTTGAGAACTTGTTGACATATTTGTTAAAAGCATGGTATAGGGAAATTTACTGGGTGTGAATCACAGCTCTGATTTGGACTGTGAACAAATTATACTCTTCATGTCTCATTTGGCTCATCTGTAAAGTGGATATAATCATAGTGTTTATTGCTTAGAATTGTGTGAAACTCAGAATAGTAGCAGACATATCATACATACTCAATTTTGTTTAGCTATTAGTACTAGTATTAATAATAAACACCACCAGTGTATTAACTTGGTAGGAGCAGTATATATACTATTCCATGAGTTAATTATGCTACTATATTCTCTCTAAATTATTTATGAATTTAAACTTTCCACTTCTGTAAGCCAGTTTTTTCCATGAGACAGAAAAAGTGACAGTTCACCTGAAAGTGATTTTCTTTTTTTTTTTTTTTTGAAACGGAGTCTTGCTCTGTTGCCCAGGCTGGAGTGCAGTGGCATGATCTCGGCTCACTGCAAGCTCCACCTCCCGGGTTCACGCCATTCTCCTGCCTCAGCCTCCCGAGTAGCTGGGACTACAGGCGCCCGCCACCACGCCGGGCTAATTTTTTGTATTTTTAGTAGAGGTGGGGTTTCACTGTGTTAGCCAGGATGGTCTCCATCTCCTGACCTCGTGATCCACCCGCCTCTGCCTCCCAAAGTGCTGGGATTACAGGCGTGAGCCACCGCGCCCGGCCCTGAAAGTGATTTTCTAAAGAAGCATTAATCCCCTATCTTAATTTTGTAATTCACGACGACATAGAAATAAAAATTTCTAGTAGATGCCAACTTCTCGGAAAGTAGCCAGTGAAAATTATATTTTTAAATAAATCTGTAAAATCTGAATTTAATTTACGTCATTAATATCAATGAATTTTTAAATGAGATTCTTATATTTTATTCAATAAAGTACAGCCAGATAACTCTTGACTCCTATTTTATAAGCAAGGGAAATAAATGACTTTTTTAAATCTGAAACAAATGTTTACTACTGTATTGACAAATAGTGTTGTGATTGTCAGAGGACTTTCATCCAGTGCTTAGCATTTAAGAAAAAAATACTTACGCTTACTCTTCACCTAAGGTGGATAGGATAAGTAATAGGATGAGAAGTGAATAATTTATGTGTGTTTAAGTTCAACTGTCTCTTTCCAAACACACAATTAAAATTAAAGGTCAACATTTTTAGACATAAATACATATATCTTAATTTGTTAAAGTTGCACATCAAGCCAACCGTGGCTGTATTCCCAGTGGGGCCAGCTTCATGGGCATGCAGCCTGTGTTGGTGCACAGGATCCTGCAATTACAAAGGCCTCACTCTAGGTCGAATACTCTGTTGTCACCATCTTCAGTTTCTTCATGATTTGTCAACAAGGGTCAACATTTGCATTTTTTTTAGTGGTCTTTACAAATCATATATCCCATCTTGGTTCAAGGAGGAACCTATCATGAGAGAGGCAAGCACAGACCATGTAACCTTTTCTGAACTAATCATGGAATTCATGTAGCATCACTTTCACCATTTCCTATGCATTGAGGCAGTAATAAAATCCCACCCAGTGCAAGGGGAGAAGAAATAGTCTATTCTTTCAGAGTGGAAGCATTGTTATAGATTTTGAAAAACTGTACCTGCCACACATGAAAAAAAAGTACTTAGTATATTGACATTCACTTATATGGCCTTTCTTGACATCTCAAAGCAATGCTAAGAAAAATGCATATTTCTGAGAAATAGTTGAGAGTACAAGTTTGGAGTCAGACTTTTGGGATTTGCATTCCAGCTGTTGCTGGGATTTTGGCATGGTACTTAATTGCTTAGTGTTTAGGTTTCTCATCTATAAAATGAGAATAATTTTAGAAATTACTTTTTATGATTATTCATGTAAGAATTAAATGAGTTAATACATGTAAAACCATTAGCCATCAGTTTTTTTATTATTTGGTTAGACTAATGAAATTCTTAGAAAACATAATTTTAAAATTAGACAGATATTATTTCCCACTCCCAATGGCATAAATGGCCATCTCAGATTTATGATGATTACTACATTAGAATTAAAAAAGGGAGCACATTAGTTTCCTAAAGCTGCCATAAAAAAATACCACAGATTCATTGGCTTAAACAATAAAAATTTATTTGTTTACAGTACTGAAGACTAAAAGTACAAGATCAAGGTGTTGGCAGTGTTGGCTCCTTCTGAGGTCTGTTAGGGAAGAATCTATTCCAGGCTACTCCTTAGCTTGTAAATGGCCATCTTCTCCCTGTGTCCTCACATTATCTTCCCTCTGTATACATTTGTGTCCGGGTCTCCTCTTCTTATAAGGACACCAGCCATATCATATGAAGGTCCACCCTCATGACCTAATTTTGGCTTAAATGCCTCTTTAAAGACCCTATCTTCAAATCAGGTCACATTCTGAGGAACTGAGGATTTAGAACTTCAAGTTGAATTTTTGAGGGAGTACAATTTAGCCCACAACAGAGAGACAGCCTGTTTGATGGATATGATTTTTGAGGAACTGTATATCATCACTCAGCATTTGTTTCAAAATGTTCTTACAGGTTTGTCATTTTCTTACAAATCACTAGAATATCATAAAAGCTATATATATATGATTCCTACTTTTATAAGCCTAGGTAATATTACTGGATTATTATCTTCAAAATTGTTTAAAAATATGCACCCTATTCCAGCATGGGTTTATTCTCTGATTCATCACTGTAGCCAACATGCCTACACTCCTTGAAAGACAACATCATGCGTCACTTACGTTGTTCCTGCAGGGCCTTCATATAGAACAGAAGCTCAAGCTTCTGCTGAATAGAATGTAATTGAAAGCCACTTAAAGAGATTTGAAAACTTTAATCCTCATTTATATCTGTGCTTTAATTCAGACTGAATAAATTAAATATGTTACACTTGTAGCACTTGAATTTATGCATTTCGTCAATACTTGGCACCACAGTATGCTACTTCATTCATTAATGTTTTCCTGCATCTGTATCTTCTCCCCAACTAGATAGAAAGGTCTTTTCTATAAGAACCCTTGCTGTGCAAATTCTCCATGTATCACTTTGTCATCTAACAAAGTAACCTTTCATTGTACCTGTACCATTTTAACCAGATACATAGAATGCTTTAACATTTCTTCACAATTCAACTGTTGAACAAATACATTTCTGAAAAACTAAAAAACTTGTTAAATGGAAAAGTTACCAAAGTCTCCTCAGAGGTCTAGGAAATTATTACAGTAAAGAACTCCTCTTTTCTTTCTCAGAAGCCCAATATCAAAACAGGGAGTAGAGGAAAAAGTGGTCCACACATTCCAGGAGAGCCATGGAACTCTCACATCCATCTGGGTAGTGACATGTGTAACAAATCCAAGGAACCATGAAAGTGAGACCTTACCAGCAGTTTGATTATTAAGATAAGTTATCACATATGAAGGGACTAGGAATGGAGATAGCCAACGTAGCTCTACTTGCCATTCAACAATAGCAAATGAGATCATTGGAATAACTTTCATAAGTAAGCTCTTCTTCACAATCCAACTTTTGGTACACCAGGTGTCACCATACAAATACCTATAGCCAACCAATTATTATCTTCAATAGATTATCCTTTAAAACATCTCAAAGACCCAGTTATACAATCAGGACCCAATATCCTACTATAATACAAAGTAACAAGTCATGATATTTTTCTATAACATTTCAGCTTCTTTTATATGAATACTTTCTTAAAATACAATAATTATTTCAATTATAAAAATTTGTTTTGTTCTCCTGAAATAAAATTAAAGCAATTTGCTTAATAGAAAACTCTTTCCATGATTTCAACGTATTTTTTTTTTTTTTTTTTTTTTTGAGACGGAGTCTTGCTGTCGCCCAGGCTGGAGTGCAATGGCGCGATCTCAGCTCACTCCGCCCCCCGGGTTCATGCCATTCTCCTGCCTCAGCCTCCCGAGTAGCTGGGACTACAGGGGCCCGCCACCTCGCCCAGCTAAATTTTTTTGTATTTTTAGTAGAGACGGGGTTTCACCGTGTTAGCCAGGATGGTCTCAATCTCCTGACCTCGTGATCCGCCCGCCTCGGCCTCCCAAGTACTGGGATTACAGGCGTGAGCCACGGCGCCCGGCTGATTTCAAAATATTTTTAAAGTGAAGTCCTTAACACATGGAGTTTTAAGGACACATAAAAAATTAACATGCTGGGGAAATGTAGTTAATAAATTTATTACATTTTACGTCTTTTTTCTTGATAATATAAACCTTTTGAGATAAATTTATAACAATGTTACTGCTTTTCTTATTTTTAAATCCATGATTGCAATTGAGGCATAAAAACACTAGTATATTTTGTAAAGGATTGTCAATATTTAGCCTTATTTATTGGTGGAGTCTTACTCCTTAACTTTCCATATTTAAAAAATTAAAATTAACTTGCTTTTTGTTATGGTTTTAAGTTCTAATATTCTAAAAAGTTACTTATAAAATTTCACAACCAGTCCATGCTTGTTGTCTTGAAATTTAATATTGTTGCATTACAATTTGGGCATATTAAAATCCTCTGCATTTAGTATAAACAAGAAATAAGTCTTCTTTCTTCTATTAAAAAGCAGAGGCTCTGAATGTCTGGACAAGAAATAATTATCCTACACAAGCAAAGATACAAAATAAAATTAATTACTAGCTTTATCAAATCTTTGTAAGTGAGGAAAGCTTTTTCTTATAATAAAAAAATTTAAGAAGATAAGACAGTGGGGCAAGAATTGGATGAGGGCAGGGTAGAAAGGAAAGAGGAAGGGCAACAAAACAAACAAACAAACAAACAAAAAACTACTTTCAATTTTCCCTTCAGCAAAGTTGATTTTACTCTCTTGGTCCTTCATTTTAGAAAATGGAATTTGAAAGAGAGAACAAGAATAATCCATTAGAATTAATAGTATCCTCTATCACAAACCACTGGAATTAGTGGAAACAGGAATGGGAATTTCAAATTTAGTCATGAGGATTTAAATGTTAAGACCTCAAATCAGGAAATGTTAAATATTAGGATATAAGAGTTTGGACTCACAGAAGGAAAACAAAAACTGTAGAATAAATTTTATAGTACAGGACAATGTAACGGTGGGATAACCTGGATAGGATGTCATGGTGGGGTTGTAAACGCTACGAAACAATAAGATAAAAATGAGTGAGGACTTGAGGATAGATTTGAAATATAGAAATGACAAATGATTCTCATAACTACTTTGCCTAGAATCCACCTATTTTGGAGCAGTGTATCTTTTCTGAAGTCTTATCATAGGTTTTCTTTCTTTTTAATAACACTTATATTTTAATTGTGAAATATTTCTAACATACAGCACATACAGTGACCTATGGCAGACCTTTGAGGACCAACTACATTATAAAGGTCACTGAACCAGCAGAATCCATGTGAAAGATATATGAGAAAAGAATTAACATGACTGGAAGCAGCTCCTCCATTTCCCCCAAATCCTCACAAGGGTGCACACAAATTTCAGTGGTCAGGATAGCCTATGTGGCAAGAACAATCAGCTAGTTCTGAAGAGCACGGAGTCTGGGGCTGGCAAACTATTTCTACTTTTTCTCCAATCCTTCAATCTTATTTCTTCTAAGTTCCTCTACATTTGACACTGTCCTCCACAAATCATTACAGATCAATAAAGATAAAGTGGACAGCCAAATGCACTGCTCAAAATTATGCCTGCAGACAGGATTTCTCTTCCCACCAACTGCCTACATGAGGTTTTAATGCCATAGACTTCCATTTAAGTTTGGTGATATTAAAAAGAGCCAATTAGTTGCCAAGCACATTTTTTGTTCTTAATCACCTAGTCATAGGCACTCTCCATGAGGCCATAAATGAGGGTTGAGATGACACAGCAATAAAACAGGGGCAGGTGCATGCATAAGGAATCAGGCGATCTGCTCATGTGGCCTATTTGTGCCTTCAGCATCTGCTTGGGCCCACCTCCTCTTCTTGACATAGGGATCCATCAGTGATTTATCAGCTTACCTATCTTCTAGGAGATGTAGACTGACAAAATATGAAAGATGTATTTTGTGTACAATTGTAATGAGTGTTAATGAGAAAGCAGGTATGAGAAATGAATAGTTCTTATAGGTTGTAATTTTACAATTACAGACTCACAGAGACTCACAGAGAAGGTGATATTTAAGTAAAGTGAAAGAAAAAATAAGTGAAGGAAGAAGTCATGTGGATATCTGTGGGAAGAAGGTTCCATGGCGAGAGAAAACCTGCATGAGGTAGGAACATGCCTAGAATTTTCGAAGACGCCAGTGCTCACTGGAGTATAAATGGTGAGTATAATGGTGAGTGGAAAATTAATGACTTATTAAATCATTCATAATCTGGCCGCCCCTGCCTCTGGCTCTCTATGTTTTCAGAGGGCCAGTGGCAGCCAGATTATGAAGCATTTTATAAGCCATTGTAAGGACTTTTCACTTCTCTGGGTAAATTAGGAAGCCATTAGAGAGCTTTGGCAAAGATGTGACATCACCTGACTTACATTTAAGTAGGATTTTACAGGCTTTAGCATTCAGAATAGACTGAAGGGAATCAGGACAGAAGCAGGTCATTAAGTGAGGCGGCTACTGCAATAATCCAGGAGAATAATAATGGTAGCTTGGACTACAGTTGCTTGGTGGGGTAGATGGTCAGCAGTGATTAGACCTTTTAGCCAAAATTATTTTTTTGGATGAGTTAGATGTGGTGTATGAGATAAAGAAAATAAACGGTTGAAGAAACTAGAAGAAACTAAGAAGAGCAACACTGTGAGAGGACAGACTTGGGGACTGGGAAATCAGGTCCATTCCGGACATATTAATTTGCGGTAATACTTGGACAATTGTATATAAGATATATGTATATATAGGATATGAATTGGGAATTCTTAGTGCAGAGAGGATATTTAAAGCTAGAGGCTGGATGAGATAATTGAGTGAGTGACTCACCCGGAGAGGAGAGATATAATCCACAGACTGAGCCCTGTGTGGTCCGGTGTTAAGAAGTCAGAAAAATGAGGAAGAACAAGCATGAGAGATGGAGATGTGGCAGCTAGTGAAGAAGCTAGAAATGCAGGAATGTGTGCATCTCAAAAGAGGGTCAAGGAAGAAATGGTGATTGGGGAGGTATACTAGACTTTTTAGTTTCATCCTCCACATCTCCTAATCTTTTTGTATTGTCCCTCTATTTATTACTCCATGATGAATTCTATATAATTTCTTCAAAGGCAATAGAGCAGAGTGTGTGAGAGCAAAGATTACAGAGACAGTCAATTTATCACTAACAAACTCCAGGCAGCCAGGACATATGAATGAACACAATAATAATAACAACAAGCAATAATTTAAAATAATGTTATCACAAGTATTATATAACACTTAGTTGTATACTTAGTAAGCACTCAATAAACTATAGCTGTTATCTATCTTCCAGGTCACCAGTTTCCTATTCACCAGTTTCTAATCAGCTTACTTGTCAATCAAGTTTGTAATTTCAATGGCCATTTTTTATATCTAAGATGTATATTTAGTTCTTTTTCAAATATCCCTAATCCCTTGCAGTTATGTATTTAATTTATTTGCCTCTTTTTTCTTATAGGTTTAATTTTATATTATGTTTATAGTAATTTTAAATAGAAATCTTCATGTTTACCAGTTTGCTTTATTGCTTAAAGTTTTGAAGTTCTATTAATCTTGCTTGACTGTCTCTTATAGGACATATTCTTTTGAGCATTTTGCAAACTTTGATTGTGAGCTTGCTTTCCAAGGGCTTTATCAATAAGGATCCTGTGTGGCCAGAGAGATTTTGCATTTGCTTCTTCCTAGTATCCTGCACCTACCACTGCCTTCTGGGCCAACACCTCTTTTAATTTCTCAGTCTAGGGTTTTCAGAACCATTTGATTGATACAAACTGAACCAGAAACCCAGCAGATGCAGAACCATTGTTCTGACTTCTCAAGATATGTTTACCTACCCCAGATCCAGGAGGACCTACTGGCTTCCTCATTATTCCCATGTGCAATTTAGGCAGACTTTCTCTGTGCATGCTGTTAATATGAATGCAATCTCTGAGATTTTCAGCACTACATGGAAGTTCCAGTACTAAATCCTTGCTCAGGTCATAAAGAACAATAATTAAGACCTCCATGCAGCCCTGATGCCAACTCATCTTCTTACAATCTGCATTTAAGTTCCAGTGTTATTTCTTTTGCTTGGAGATTTCCTTTTCTTCCTTGTGAGAATGTTTCTTAAACTTTATCCCACATTTCTTACAAAGGCAGTGTTCATTTTTGGAGATTGGTTCAAGGGATAGAGTCACTCTTCTCTATTCCACTATGTTACCAAAGCCAGAAATACTCTGAATAGATTTTCGAGCCTGAGATTCTATGTCAAGATTAGATAAGAAGATGGGTCATGACTGTACCCGAGGTACACATATATGCATGTCACTTGATCCACTTAATTGGAGAACAATTTATAGTTTGTATGTACTTTTAGGCCAAGGTAAAAATGTCCAGGAAAGTCAAAGATATAATGCCATAATAATATTATCATTTGACTATTGAATCCTTTTTGTTTTATTCTTGCAAGAAAGCATTTCTGTATTCTAGTGCATAGCTTTTCATTATGCTAAAAGACTACGATAGATAAAACAGAAACATATTCACAGCAAAATAGCTAAAGTAGTCCGACAGTTTTAGTTTCTAGATAATAGTCCTGACTCTGACCTGTATTCTTATTTCAAAGTAGTTTGTGACATATTATGACTCTGCAAAGTTACTAAGTTTCACAAATTTGATTAAGCTGCAAAAAAGGAGCTGAAACTACTCTAATTGAATTTGGCTTTATCAATTATTTTTGGAACTCTATGCTTACTTATATTGAGTTCTCAATTCAAATAGCAGAGATAATTTTGCACCAAAGAGAAATTGTCTTGGACTTAGCATTAAGAAGACCCATGTAATTTGCTATGCTACTTGCCTATTGAGAAAAGCAAAAATGTGCTAGCTGAGCAACAAAAATTGTTACAGCACCGTCAGTTTCATTTTAATATGGTTAATGTTTAAGTGCAAACATACAGAAATCAGGCAAGAATGTGATTTACCTTGCTCTAAGTGAAATATTTGTTTTGAGCATCCATATTGTGTTTGATAAGATTATATCTATTTAGCTCTATTGAATAGCGGCAACTTTGATGTTATGAATGTGTTCAATGTAATTCAAATTATCATGCAGGCAAATACATTTGAAAGAATAGCATTAATTCTGTATGGCACTAAATTATTGTTACGCTTGTTTGCAATATGTACCTTTGCTGAATTCACAGGACTGTAAGTAACAAAACTATTTCATCAACAAAGTGTGAAGCAACAAATTTAAAGATATGAATGTGGAAAATTTTATATTACACCACCAAATTACTTTGAGAAGAGAAATAAAAAGAAATATAATTTGCGACAGTCCAAGCATACTTGAATGCTGTTTATATTGTTCCGTGTGTAATAAGTTCTTTTCAGCTCTAACTGAGAAAAACCTATTGTTTTCATGGCTCAGTTTTCTGACAAATCTGTAATGACTTTGAAGGTTTATCTAAACATTCCTAAATAATTTTCAAGTCATTTATATTCTTGTGCTACTAAAGATAGTCCCATTAGTATAGTGACTTTATCACAATGGTGGCAACCCAGTGGCAGCTTGGAAATAGCAATTATACATACTTGGTTTCCAGGCTCTAGATCATCTCACTGAGTCATGTGGCTTTACCAACAATACATAATGGATAGACCATATCCTCTCATGTCACATGTTTTGCACATGTATATTTTTGTGATACTTACTTTCAGTATTTTGCTCAGGTTCTATTCATTTCTTTGAATAAGTTAGAGGAAAAACTGTAATTTAAAACAGATGAAAATGTCAAGCAAAAATATTGCTCAATTAAAAGCGGATAAATAACATTCTTCAAGGAGTAGGGCTTTTGTGTATGTGTGGGGTGGATATTTACAACATATACAAATATTAAGTTAACTTTCCTGTTCATATTTTGTTCTTACTACGCTATATAACTTTTTGCTTAAAAAAAGGCCTAACTTAAAAATAAAATAAGAAAAGTATTTAATTAAATGCTTTGATTTCTTGGTAAGGAAATAATTATTTGCATTTGCAGGTAGTACAACTTCTCTATTTATCCGTTACTTTTCAAATGATTCTTTAAAGCTGAACAGCACTGATTTTTCTTTTGCATTGCTTTTCAATATTGTCAGAAACATTTCTATAATGAAGAGAAAATTACTTCAGTAAAATTTATATCTTTATTACATTTCATATACAGTTCACTTTAATAAATAACTATTTAACTATTAGTTTCAAAGACTTTTAGCTCAGCAACAGTTCTTTTCTCATTATAGCTGCTATATAACTGCATCATTGTAGCTAACGCTTTTTGCTTCACCATTATTCCTCTTTAAAAACTATTTTCCTTTCAGATAAACTCTAACAATTGCTGCAATAAATTCTAACCCAAGAAAACAGTCATTCACAGGTGGAGATAGTATTTCATCTACATTGTAAATGTCATATGCTATAGTATCTAAGGTCAACCATTCTATGGACACTGAAATAACAGCTATATTTGCTTTCATCTGCTCATATCAAATTCAAATTCAACAATACATAAAATCAGACTTTTTTATAAAATAGAAACTTTGGATGAATAACTAGTTTGAATAATGAAAAATTGCAAAATTAATTTCTGCTGTGCTATCTGTGAGAGCTACAGGTCTTCAGAACTCTGGAATGCATTTATTTGATCTAACACTATTAGTTTGAAGACTCTGGCACCAGGCCAGAATCCTCTGTGTGATCCAGAGGCAATCTCAGGGCTGTGCCCGGTAGGCCTCGGGGGAAAACTGCCTTGTCCACACCAGACTTGGTGCACGGCCAGTCATTACTGTTTTCTGTAGAGAGTCGCAGTCAACAATTCAGGGTACCTCAGGCTGAGCATTCCCACGAGTATCCCTAGCCCAGGCGCCGCCATTTGGAGGCCTCTTTATTAGAGGGACTCAGCTGAGGTACTCTTCAGGAGACTCTGCCAAGACCTTCTTAGTGGAGGATTCCAACTAAGCCACTTTTCTCCACTCTGACTCAGTACTTTTTACACTTAGTTCTCTCTGTTTCTTGCTCTGGAGACCCCTGGGGTTTATAAAAAGGCAGGAGCCTCTTGTTTGTGGCTCCTGGGCAGTTAGACAGTTCCCTTTGCCTGCCCTGCATGTCATTAGACCTTCACCTGCATATGAAAAAAAAAAAAAAGGAACCCTGGTGGGCTGGTGCCTCACTCTTACTACAGTAAGTGAATAAAGGCTTGATTGTTACTTTCAGTTTGGCTTCATGGACTACCTTGACACCCAAGGCCTTGGCATGGTTCATAAATCTGCACTTTTCACGTGATAGTTTCCCTTGAACAACTTTTTTTTTTTTGGAAAGCTAATGACCAAGTGTCAATAGATATTTTTGCATACTTAGAGTTTTCTAATGGAGAAAATGTCCTTTTACTTCAAGGAATACAGAAATTCTGGCCATGTATACCCATACTTATAGACAAAGCAAACAACAATGATAAATGTCAATTGGTCTATCTAAAAATGATAACATATAAAATAAAATCACGGAAACCGACTCCATGATGTCACATGATGCTGTTAATGCAGTACTTCCTGTTTTCAAAATTATTGGGATTTTTGGTTTTCATTATTGTATTTAAAAATATGTAGCTTTGTGTGAAATATGTGGCTTTGTGTAGTAAGAATGTCATATCCACACCCTAACAATTAATAAAATGTAAATGTTAAATCTTCCTTCTTGACATTTTAGGCATCAAATTAATCTCTAATGAGAAAGAAGTTGTTATTATTCAAGTTACATTTGTAAAGAGACAAATATTATGTGGAGGAAAACCAAGTTTCATTGTGTAACAGATGCCTAATTAAGGAGTGGAGGGCTTGAATCAAGTGAGGCATGGAAGTGGGTTATATGGCTTTTACATGCAGAGCACATTATTTATCAATGAGGGTAAGAAATGCTGCTTTAAAGGGAAAGTCACCAAAGCTTACTTGAACTTTGAGCTGTTAACTTTTTGTCTTCTTTTTCAATTATTTAAATGACAGAACATATCAACTTTGCCATTATAGTTTCTGTTAAGCTAAACAATTGATTATTTTTCCCAGTGACAAAAACTCAATGACCATACAACTTGATTCCTGTAACGTTATATTTTCAGAAACACACCATGAATTTAGCTAAATTTAACAAAGAATCTGTGAAACACTGATGAAATAATGCAAGTTTTCAGGCACTGCTAAAAAACACAGATGAACTGAATTAAGAAGATAGCATTGGTAGAAATGAAATGTTCTGTGAAAAAACAGCTGCTTCCTATAATGCATATGTCTAGCAAATAATGGATTGTTATATTCTTTTTCCATATTTTTCAAAAACATATTTTAGCTTCTTTAGATTTTTACCATATGCATACTGGGCTGAATATTTTCAACACTACTTCTGAGATTTGAACACATGGAATCTTATGCTACAATTATATAATTATAATTACTGTGTATAAAACATGCTCATATGATCAAGCAGAAAATACTCTGGGAGCAGAAGCAATTGGTTTGCCATTTGGGAGGGTGATAAGTACATTTTAATCTGACATTAGTGGAAGGCTAGGGACTCCTCATATTCACAATAGAAGTTAAGGCATAAAGAAACTTGTAATTTTAGAGACAGTCACAACTATGGATACCGTAAATATGGATGTCAAATTTGTTGACTGGAATTTCGTCCTGATAAACCAAAATAAATAAGTAAACATGCAGACTATCTGAAAACTCAATTGTTTTCACTTAAATCCATACATCTATCAATTTATTCTCAATTCTCTCATTTTTCCCTCTTCACAACTCCATTTTTCAGTCTCTTCCTCTGTTTCATCTTTTGTAATGCAGTCTAACTCCTTTTTAAGTTTTGCTTATGTGTGTTTGCGTGTGATTTTATGAAAATAATCCTTTGGTAAATTTCTTTAGGGTCAGGGGCTTAAGATAAATTATATTGCCTATATAAATATAAAACTATATTTTAGGAAAATGCCCAACTTTTGGTAACAGCAGCTTAAAATATAGTATTTCTTTTGAAGTCTCAATTTCGGGAAACAATCTGAACCACTGAACTTATCTTTATCAATTTGTGTCTAGAGAAATGATCAACAGTATATCATTAAATGCTAGTGCCCTGTATTGGAATATAGCCCACAGTTTATGAGGTACTTCATTAAATTATGATTATTTCACTTACTAAGAGTGAGAGCAGTTTAAACTGAAGTGCACCCTTCCACTTCCCTACTTTCCTATCTCTGGAAAGTACCATCCAGACTTGCACAAGCCAGTGTGTTCTGCTATTTACTCTTCTTTCCACTCTGGCACTCAAAGCAGAAAATTTGATGCCTGGGCTGGTCCTACAATAATTCTTCCACTCATTGATGTAGTAAAATAGGAGGAAGATAGGGCAGAAATGGCAACTTTCTCAACTCAGCTGGCGATTGATAGACGCTTCTATTGATTGCCACTGTCTTGGCTAATACTGTCTGGGTATCAATAACCTCCATGTAACAGGTATATAATGCTGGCTCTATCATGAGGCATTCCTGTGCCTTGTTTGGAACATCCTGCTATGCTGCCTAGACATTAGAGTTCTACTTCTAAGGCAGTTGTGAGTGTGGCTGCCTGTGGTTGACCCAGTTCTGCCCTTTCATTAAGCCTTGATCGTTGTCTGGTTCCAATTGTTGGAAGGTGTGTTTTTTGTTTTTTTTATTATACTCTAAGGTCTAGGGTACATGTGCACAATGTGCAGGTTTGTTACATATGTATACATGTGCCATGTTGTTGTGCTGTACCCATTAACTCTTCATTTAGGTATATCTCCTAATGCCATCCCTCCCCCCTCCCCCCACCCCATGACAGGCCCCGGTGTGTGATGTTCCCCTTCCTGTGACCAAGTGTTCTCATTTTTCAATTCCCACCTATGAGTGAGAACGTGCAGTGTTTGGTTTTTTGTCCTTGAGATAGTTTGCTGAGAATGATGGTTTCCAGCTTCATCCATGTCCCTACAAAGGACATGAACTCATCCTTTTTTATGGCTGCATAGTATTCCATGGTGTATATGTGCCACATTTTCTTAAACCAGTCTATCATAGATGGACATTTGGGTTGGTTCCAAGTCTTTGCTATTGTGAATAGTGCCGCAATAAACATACGTGTGCATGTGTCTTTATAGCAGCATGATTTATAATCCTTTGGGTATATACCCAGTAATGGGATGGCTGGGTCAAATGATATTTCTAGTTCTAGATCCTTGAGGAATCGCCACACTGTCTTCTTCCACAATGGTTGAACTAGTTTACCATCCCACCAACAGTGTTAAAGTGTTCCTATTTCTCCACATCCTCTAAGCACCTGTTGTTTCCTGACTTTTTAATGATCACCATTCTAACTGGTGTGAGATGCTATCTCATTGTGGTTCTGACTTGCATTTCTCTGACGGCCAGTGATGATGAGCATTTTTTCATGTGTCTGTTGGCTGCATTAATGTCTTCTTTTGAGAAGTGTCTGTTCATATCCTTCACCCACTTTTTGATGGGGTTGTTTGTTTTTTTCTTGTAAATTTGTTAGAGTTCTTTGTAGATTGTGGATATTAGCCCTTTGTCAGATGAGTAGATTGCAAAACTTTTCTCCCATTCTGTAGGTTGCCTGTTCACTCTGATGGTAGTTTCTTTTGCTGTGCAGAAGCTCTTTAGTTTAATTAGATCCCATTTGTCAATTTTGGCTTTTGTTGCCATTGCTTTTGGTGTTTTAGACATGGAGTCCTTGCCCATGCCTATGTCCTGAATGGTATTGCCTAGGTTTTCTTCTAGGGTTTTTATGGTTTTAGGTCTGACATTTAAGTCTTTAATCCATCTTGAATTAATTTTTGTATAAGGTGTAAGGAAGGGATCCAGTTTCAGCTTTCTACATATGGCTAGCCAGTTTTCCCAGCACCATTTATTAAATAGGAAATCCTTTCCCCATTTCTTGTGTTTGTCAGGTCTGCCAAAGATCAGATGGTTGTAGATGTGTAGTATTATTTCTGAGGGCTCTATTCTGTTCCATTGGTCTCTATCTCTGTTTTGGTACCAGTACCATGCTGTTTTGGTTACTGTAGCCTTGTAGTATAGTTTGAAGTCAGGTAGCGTGATGCCTCCAGCTTTGTTCTTTTGACTTAAGATTGTCTTGGCAATACGGGCTCCTTTTTGGTTCCATATGAACTTCAAAGCAGTTTTTTCCAATTCTGTGAAGAAAGTCATTGGTAGCTTGATGGGGATGGCATTGAATCTATAAATTACCTTGGGCAGTATGACAATTTTCATGATATTGATTCTTCCTATCCATAAGCATGGAATGTTCTTCCATTTGTTTGTGTTCTCTTTTATTTCGTTGAGTAGTGGTTTGTAGTTCTCCTTGAAGAGGTCCTTCACATCCCTTGTAAGTTGGATTCCTAGGTGTTTTATTCCCTTTGAAGCAATTGTGAATGGGAGTCCACTCATGATTTGGCTCTCTGTTAGTCTGTTATTGGTGTATTGGAATGCTTGTGATTTTTGCACATTGACTTTATATCCTGAGACTTTGCTGAAGTTGCTTAACAGCTTAAGGAGATTTTGGGCTGAGACAAAGGGGTTTTCTAAATATACAATCATGTCATCTGCAAACAGGGACAATTTGACTTCCTCTTTTCATAATTGAATACCCTTTATTTCTTTCTCCCGCCTGATTTCCCTGGCCAGAACCTCCAACACTATATTGAATAGGAGTGGTGAGAGAAGGCAGCCCTGTCTTGTGCCAGTTTTCAAAGGGAATGCTTCCAGTTTTTGACCATTCAGTATGATATTGGCTGTGGGTTTGTCATGAATAGCTCTTATTATTTTGAGATACATCCCATTTATTGAGAGTTTTTAGCATGAAGGGCTGTTGAATTTTGTCAAAGGCCTTTTCTGCATCTATTGAGATAATCATGTGGTTTTTGTCTTTGGTTCTGTTTATATGCTGGATTACATTTATTTATTTGCGTATGTTGAACCAGCCTTGCATCCCAGGGATGAAGCCCACTTGATCATGGTGGATAAGCTTTTTGATGTGCTGCTGGATTCGGTTTGCCAGTATTTTACTGAGGATTTTTGCATCAATGTTCATCAAGGATCTTGGTCTAAAATTCTCTTTTTTGGTTGTGTCTCTGCCAGGCTTTGGTATCAGGATGATGCTGTCCTCATAAAATGAGTTAGGGAGGATTCCCTCTTTTTCTATTGATTGTAATAGTTTTAGAAGGAATGGTACCAACTCCTCCTTGTACCTCTGGTAGAATTTGGCTGTGAATCCGTCTGGTCCTGGACTTTTGATTTACCTGAAAGTGACAGGGAGAATGGAATCAAGTTGGAAAACACTCTGCAGGATATTATCCAGGAGAATTTCCCCAATCTAGCAAGGCAGGCTAATATTCAAATTCAGGAAATACAGAGAACGCCACAAAGATACTCCTCAAGAAGAGCAACTCCAAGACACATAATTGTCAGATTCACCAAAGTTGAAATGAAGGAAAAAATGTTAAGGGCAGCCAGAAAGAAAGGTTGGGTTACCCACAAAGGGAAGCCCTTCAGACTAACAGCGGATCTTTTGGCAGAAACTCTACAAGCCAGACAAGAGTGGGGGCCAATATTCAACATTCTTAAAGAAAAGAATTTTCAACCCAGAATTTCATATCCAGCCAAACTAAGCTTCATAAGTGAAGGAGAAATAAAATCCTTTACAGACAAGCAAATGCTGAGAGATTTTGTCACCACCATGCCTGCCCTAAAAGAGTTCCTGAAGGAAGCACTAAACATGGAAAGGAACACTGGTACCAGCCACTGCAAAAACATGCCAAATTGTAAAGACCATCAATGCTAGGAAGAAACTGCATCAACTAACGAGCAAAATAACCAGCTAACATCATAATGACAGGATCAAATTCACACATAACAATATTAACCTTAAATGTAAATGGGCTAATGCTCCAATTAAAAGACACAGACTGGCAAATTGGATAAAGAGTCAAGACCCATCAGTGTGCTGTGTTCAGGAGACCCATCTCACGTGCAGAGACACACATAGGCTTAAAATAAAGGGATGGAGGAAGATCTACCAAGCAAATGGAAAACAAAAAAAGCAGGGGTTGCAATCCTAGTCTCTGATAAAACAGACTTTAAACCAACAAAAATCAAAAGAGACAAAGAAGGCCATTACATAATGGTAAAGGGATTAATTCAACAGGAAGAGCTAACTATCCTAAATATATATGCACCCAATACAGGAGCACCCGATTAATAAAGGAGGTCCTTAGAGACCTACAAAGAGACATAGACTCCCACACAATAACAATGGGAGACTTTAACACCCCACTCTCAACATTAGACAGATCAACGAGACAGAAAGTTAACAAGGATATTCAGGAATTGAACTCAGCTCTGCACCAAGCAGACCTAATAGACATCTACAGAACTCTCCACCCCAAATCAACAGAATATACATTCTTCTCAGCACCACATCGCACTTTATTCCAAAATTGACCACATAGTTGGAAGCAAAACGCTCCTCAGCAAATGTAAAAGAACAGAAATTATAACAAACTGTCTCGGCTGGGCACAGTGGCTCATGCCTGTAATCCCAGCACTTTGGGAGGCCGAGGCAGGCGGATCACAAGGTCAGGGGACCGAGACCATCTGGCTAACATGGTTAAACCCCATCTCTACTAAAAATACAAAAAATTAGCCAGGTGTGGTGGCGGGCACCTGTAGTCCCAGCTATTCAGGAGGCTGAGGCAGGAGAATGGCGGGAAGCCGGGAGACAGAGCTTGCAGTTAGCCGAGATAGCGCCACTGCAGTCCAGCCTGGGTGAAAGAGTGAGACTCCGTCTCAAAAAACAAAACAAAACAAAACAAAACTGTCTCTCAGACCACAGTGCAATCAAACTAGAACTCAGGATTAAGAAATTCACTCAAAACCGCTCAACTACATGGAAACTGAACAACCTGCTCCTGAATGACTACTGGGTACATAACGAAATGAAGGCAGAAATAAAGATGTTATTTGAAACCAATGAGAACAAAGACACAACATACCAGAATCTCTGGGACACATTTAAAGCAGTGTGTAGAAGGAAATTTATAGCACTAAATGCCCATAAGAGAAAGCAGGAAAGATCTAAAATTGACACCCTAACATCACAATTAAAAGAACCAGAGAAGCAAGAGCAAACACATTCAAAAGCTAGCAGAAGGCAAGAAGTAACTAAGATCAGAGCAGAACTGAAGGAGATAGAGACACAAAAAAACCCTTCAAAAAATCAGTGAATCCAGGAGCTGTTTTTTTTAAAGATCAACAAAATTGATAGACCACAAGCAAGACTGATATAGAAGAAAAGAGAGAAGAATCAAATAGATGCAATCAAAAATGATAAACAGGATATCACCACTGCTCCCACAGAAAAACAAACTACCATCAGAGAATACTATAAACACCTCTACGCAAGTAAACTAGAAAATCTAGAGGAAATGGATAAATTCCTGGACACATACACCCTCCCAAGACTAAACCAGGAAGAAGTTGAATCCCTGAATAGACCAATAACAGGTTCTGAAATTGAGATAATAATTAATAGCCTACCAACCAAAAAAGTGAAGGTGTTTTTAAAACTGAGGCACCTGAGGCTTCTTGGTCCTCAGGGGTCAGCACTTGATGCCAATTTAGAAACACCTTCAAAGTCCCACTGAATGTTTTGTTTCACACGTATGCTTCTTTAAAAGTACTCTGATGTGATGAAACCCATGGGTGGCTGTGACTTTGTTGAAAACATTAGAAGATGGCTGTGCAGGGTTAAATGCAGAGGTATGAGTACTACATGGAGGCTCCAATGATCTTTTCAATTTTCAAGTCAGGTTTAAAAAACACTTTAGAAAATTGAAAGGTCTACTAAGTAAAAGAATTATATCACTTAGGAAAATGTGGGGGTTTTTTTGTATGTGTGTGGTGTGTGTGTGTGTGTGTGTGTGTGTGTGTGTGTGTGTGTGTGTGTGTAGAGAAAGACCTAGAGTGAGGAAGCCAGAAAATAACAAAGTGAGAGAGGAATCGAGGTAAGTGTTTCATTGCCAACATCACAGTTAGCTTGAGAATCAGTATTTGGGGAACATAATAGGGCTTATTTCAAAGTCAAGTTATAGTGGAGTTCTCACTGAATTACAATGTAAATGTGGCATGTCAATTTCTGAGATACTGCTAAATGCTTCAAAGAAACTAAAATGGGAAGGAATGGATTTTAAAATGGATAGATTTCTTTTCTAATATACCTGAGTAGGAAATAAAACACCTATTAAAATGATGCTTATTCTTCTATCTTAATGGAAGACCTTGTGGAAACATGAACAAAATGTTCTAAGTTTTTATCAAATAATGCATGCACATTAGTTTTTTTAAAAAATGGGACATATTTATTTGACATAAAAATCAACTGTCTCTTTCCTATTTATTTTTATATTTTGTACTGCTCCTTGCAGGAAAAAAAACAGTCTGAACGCTCTTAAATCCTTTTCCTGAAACCTAATTTTCTCTAAAAATGTATTCTCTTACAGATAATTCTTAGTCAATTGATAGCATTTTCTATAGACTTTTTAATGTAAAAAATGAGTCTATAGCTCAACTATAAACTTCTTTATCTTCTCTCTCCCTCTTCTTCTCCTCCCCCATTCTTTCAAAATAGTTATTTCATTATTTATAATTCCTTTCTTGAAAATCTTTAAGTAAATTTATTTGATAGATATAATGTATTTCCTCATCTAATTCGTATTCTATCAACGATGCAGACACTATTGGCCATCTGTATGGCAGCTGTTTTTCCCTTTCTTGCTTGGTTTACAGAATTCTGATATTGTCTTTACCTGGAAAATTGGGGAAATAATAGTCATGACATCACAGAGTTGACGACGATTAAATGAGTAAGTACACATGCAGTGCTTATAATAGAGCCTACTAGAGTAGATGCTCAATAACAGTTATTATTATTATTATTCAGACAACAATTTGTGCAGATAATGTGAGGGTTTCTTTCTGCTTTAGAGAGAGAGAGAGTCCAATTTTGCTCGCCAACCATGGGAATGACATTCCCCTTTGTCAACAGTTGGTTGAAGATCACATGTATAACTCTAGACAATGAAATGTCATGGGAAGTCTACTTTGGGGGGAAGGGTGGAATCTGGGAATACTTGACTCCCTGATAAAAACGAGAGTGCACATACACACACAAGAAACCCCAATATTTTTTATTGATCTGTCTTCCACCCTTGCACTCTGCTTAGGATTACTGTGTCATAATTATGCTTAAAGCTATGGCTAATGTTGTTGGAGAAGTGACTAATGCACTAAGGATGGCAGAGAAGAAAGGTAGAGCCTGGTCCTTAATAAGTTGAATGAGTGCACAAAAATCTCAGGGAAAGCTTAATTTCAGTTAAAGAAAAAAATAAATAATCCTGTGACTTCTGTCAATTTTATTTGGCTAGTGTCTTACTTAAGCTGAAAATCCTCCTAACACATATTGTCACTTTATGCCCTCATTCTCTTCTGCTCTTCTTGCCTTGTACTTTCCAGATTTATTTATCTACTCTTTGGTTTGACTTTCTCAAGACAAAATAACAAAGACACTGCTTCACTTTCCAGGGCAAAGAATAAAGAATATGAGATATATTTGATTGAGAGGTGATTTTCAGAGAGATGAGAGAATACCCCAAATTAGCCAGAGATTTAACAACTGCAAAGCAAATGAAGAAAGAGAAAACCCATGGGGTACTCAGCCAGAGAAAGGGTTAAGGGATAGTGTAAGAAATGCGATGTTAGTGTAGTACCCCATTTGGATCAGCAGTTAAATAACATTTACATAGTTATTTAAAAATAAAAATAATAGAATGAATTCATTTAAAAATGTGGCATTCTATATAGGGAATGTAAAGAGAATGGAAATGAACATGAGAAGCTAAGGATTTGGACAGGAGAGGGACAAACAAAAAAACAATAGAAAAGGATAAGGAATTAAAGATGGACCCAGCAGGGACAGAGCTGTAGATTTATGATAGGAAGGATTTTACAAATCTTTGAAAAAATATTGAGTTACTTGAGAATTTGTACTGGAAAAATTTATTAATATTTTAAAATAAAATAAAATTTGACATATACACTACACACACACAAATACACACTTGCATATGCACAAAAAATTGCAATAAAATTCTACATAAATAATTATTGCAAAATATTCACACTGTAGAAAATATAGTAGAAAATCTTCCTGAATGTAAGACAGGGAAAAACTTCTTAGGCAAGAATCGAAAAGGATAAGCCATAACATTTAATACATTTGTTAAATCAAGTTTAGCCTTAAGCTGCTGTGAGTTCAGCCTAAGTGTTTCTCTGGACATTGTGAACTAGCGCATAAATGAAATGTAAACAGACTGTAGCCTACTCTTGTGCTAATCACCAATTTTTGGCCAATCAAATGTGGCCAACTGTTCAAACCTCTTTAAATAAGGCAAATGCCGAACTATAACCATTCTGACTATTTCTGTACCTTACTTCCATTTTCTTTCATCGCTTTCCTTTTCCTGCCCATAAATCTTCTACCAGGTAGCTGTGCTGGAGTCTCTGACCCTACTCTTGCTCAGGAGGCTGCCTGATTCACAAATCGTTCTTTGCTCAATTAAACTCTTTTAATTTAATTCGGTTAAAGTCTTTCTTTTAACAGACGGTGTCAGAAGTGGGATCCGAGGTAGGGTTTCTAACAATCCCCATGAGTGCTGAGTGCCCAACTGAGGTACCTGCAGGGCTCACTGTGTCCATTATAGTCTCAGACCAAATGGGGATCGCTCTAAGTTCTCTCTTGGATTCTGAAGCTCTGCAGATTTGTGTTTTGAGCTTTCTGAGATTCTTTGAGGAAAGTTCTGATCCAAACTGGATTTGGAAGTCGTAACAGTAGAAGGACTGGGTCCAGGATCAGATTGGATCTGATAATTAACTGGCTTGGATCCAGTTAGAGACCTCTCACATATGACTGGCTCAGAAAGAAACTGGTAGTAAATGGCAATATGGCAGGAGGAGTAAAATTTGGCTTTTGGAATTTCATAGTTATTTTTGTGTTCTACCCCTTTGTTTTTGTTTCACACTTCGGTAGGGACCAAGACTTCTCTACTGTCATGATACTCTTATCTTTCCATTTTTTTCCCTTGCTTATGCCTCTACGAACAACAGAGGTGAAAAGCAGGTCTGTTGTGTGCACTCATGAGATATACTTTAATTTGTGAAGGATTTTTTTTTTTTGAGACTGTGTCTCACTCTGTCGCCCAGGCTAGAGTGCAGTGGCACAATCTCAGCTCACTGCATGCTCCGCCTCCTGGGTTCACACCATTCTCCTGCCTCAGCCTCCCAAGTAGCTGGGACTACAGGTGCCCGCCACCATGCCCCGCTAATTTTTTGTATTTTTTTTAGTAGAGACAGGGTTTCACTGTGTTAGCCAGGAAGGTCTCGATCTACTGACCTCGTGATCCACCTGCCTCGGCCTCCCAAAGTGCTGGGATTACAGGCGTGAGCCACTGCGCCTGGCAGGATTTTTTTTTTTTTTTTTTGAGACAGTCTCACCCTGTTGCCCAGGCTGGAGTGCGTGGCATGATCTCAGCTCACCACAACCTCTGACTCCTGGGTTCAAGCAATTCTCCTGCCTCAGTCTCCTAAGTAATTGGGACTACAGGCATGCACCACCATGCCTGGCTAATTTTTGTATTTTTAGTAGAGACGTAGTTTCACTATGTTGGTCAGGCTGGTCTCAGACTCCTGACCTCGTGATCCGCCTGCCTCAGCCTCCCAAAGTGCTGGGATTACAGGCATGAACCACTGCGCCTGGCCTATTTGTGAAGGATTTTGCAGACAGCCTTATACAAGGATAAGCTTACACTTTGATAGATTAAAGATGAAAGCCCAAAGTGCAAGAGAAATTTTAATGGTACATACATTGCCTCCTAATCAGTCGGGAACAGAACATTGGTCCACTCCTCTTAACCTACACCTTGGGTTAAAAAGAACATTGCCAGGAGGTCTTCACTCTTCTAAAAGGGCATCATTTATTAGGTCCTTTTTCCCATTATTTGGAGTAAATGAGGTAATGATTAGAAATGTATTCCCCATGATATGCTGTATAACAGATTCTACTGTAAAGCTATGGTTGCACAACAGACTAAATTATCTTGTAAAAGTTGTGCTAAATAATTGAATTGCCCTGGATTACTTACTGGCTAAACAGGAAATTATCTGTGCAGCTGCTGGCACTTCTTGTTGCTCATGGAGGAATTTAACATGTATTTTAGAGATTCAGTTGTAGGGAATTGATAGACTGTTTGGTTAAAGTGAGTAGACTGTTTATCTAGCTCATTCTTTGATCTATTTGATTTTACGTGGTTTGGTTTATGGGTACCCTGGCTAAGGAACACACTCCAAACTCTTGGTATTATCCTCCTGATAGTCATAACAGTAGTCTCTCTGGTGCACCGTATTCTCTCAAAAGTTTTAAATGTTTGCATGCAGCTGTCTCTAGAATATCAAATGATCAAATAGTCTCTCCTCAACTGGAATGACATGAGCTGAAAGAAATGTGTGACCATGACGGCACCATAACCAATGAATGATGTACTGAGACCAGAAACCCAAAATGATGGTAACTGAGACTAAGGCCCTAAGTTTTGGTCATACCCTCACCTAACTGAGAACCTGACTAAAAGGGGAAAAATTTAAAACAAACATGGGTGCCCATTGTTTTGGACTGAGCTTATGTACTAGGCCTCTGTAGACCAGACCAAACCAAAACAGAATCAGTTATGCTAAATGTGACATAATCAAACTAAAACTTTACAGAAATACACAGATACTAGAACAGGGTTGTTTTTTCTCTGATAAACAGGACATTCCAGCATAGGGAGGTACCCTCTACTCTAATCCTTACAAAAAAATATCCTGAAGTCCTTGTTCCCACCTTACCAAACCCACTGTTCTGCTATTTGTCAGTGGCTTTCAAAACCAAATAAGTACATTTAAGATGGTGATAGTGACATTAATAACTAAAGTCTTGGTCAATCTCTAAAACTTAAGAGGATGACCAAAAGGGAAGAACTGTTAAATCAAGTTTAGCCTAAACGGCCTCTTTACATATCTTAAGTTCAGCCTAAAGGTTTCTCTGCACATCATGAACTATAACCCAAAGGGAGTTGTAAACAGACTGTGGCCTACTTTTGTGCTAATCACCAAGTTTTGGCCAATCAAAGGTGACCAAATGTTCAAACTGTGTACAAATAAGGCATATGCAAAGCTGTAACCAATATGGCAGTTTCTGTACCTCACTTCCGTTTTTTGTACATCACTTTCTTTTTCTGCCCATAAATCTTCCACTACAGGGCTGCACTGGAGTTTCTGAGCCTACTCTGACTCAGGAGGCTGCCCAATTCATGAATCGTTCTTTCCTCAATTAATCTCTTTTAAGTTTAATTCAGCTAAGTTTTTTCTTCTAGCACATTGACTATTTTAAAGTTAAAATTAAAATGCTCTGAACAACCAAGTCAGCGTAAGCAAATAGAGAGTCAATCCATGTACAGGGAGAATATATTTACCACATCTACAAACGGACATAGAAATACCATCTAAAGGACTCTAAAAAATCAAATCGAAAATATGAACAGATAGGTAACTTTGAAATATATCAAAAGAAAAAAAACAAATTTTAAATGTGTTTACAAAAGAATGGCCAGTCTTACAGGAATCAGGAAGAGCTTTCCTCCATTACTCTTTCCTTCAAAGGCTGGGCTTTTCTCCCATGCTCCCTGCCATACTCTGTTAATAGGTAAACCTTCAGACTAAATTACTCCCCTGTGTTTTCATTCTTCCTTACAGTGACTTCACAGTTATTCTTCATCTTCCAGATTAAGCCTTAAATCCTATCTGTGTAATTGACCTCAGCAGTTTACCATACCACTTGATCACTGGAATTCATATTGCTCAGTTATGTTCATCAAGTCTAATTTTGACAGCTAGTTGCTTTTATAGAATTGCTGCCCTTCTTTTCAGTGAGCAGAACTTATCCTGTTATCCAGCTCTTCTCTTCCTGCTCACTCTGTAACATCTCTGAGTCCTGCATCTTCAGCCACAAACACCAGGGTTTATTCTTATGTGACTAATTAGTTCAACATATATATAAGATAACTGAATACAGTCCACAAAATAGGAGTTTTTAATATGTATTGTTATTATTTCTATGTGAATAAATTATTAAATCACATATATATGTGTCTCCTGATTTGGGACTTGTTACAAAGTTCAATACATAAGACAAGTGCAATAATGTTTAAAAATATAATAAACATGAGCTTTTGTTAACTTCATTATATTCAGAAGAGAGTGTTTTCAATAGTGTTTCCTTCCTTGTAACTTTCCTATCATTCTAACCCAGAAAATATAGGAGAGATACATTAATAGCTAAAAAGAAAATCAGGATAATTTTTTGAAATATTTCTTCCTCCCATGTAGGCAGAGATAATCTTATATCCAAAAATTCGTTGTAAAAGAGATCATATTTTTTAATTCTGAGAAAATCTTAAATTTCTTTCTTGGAGAGTACAATTCTAATTATTATAAAACTGAGACAGATGACTTTTCATTACTGTATGTAAAGGACAGTCTCTTGGATATAATATCTAGAGCAGATGCTTCAGGAGCTTTTCAAATTAGAAATAAAACATGAAGAATGTTCAGAAAAGGCTCATTATCTTATTAAAGGGGACTTAAGCCATACAAAGTAGTCATAAAATTATATATCAAAGTATCTATTTACAGCGTTAGGTATCTTAAAATATGCAATTATTTAAATGTTTTAGTCACTATGACATGCCCTACCAATCACATGAAAATATCCTATAAACTCTAAGGTTAAGTAACAATAGAAGAATCATCAAATCTTGTAGCTAAAGTTGAATGCAAAGTGGATTTCTTGATGCCTCTATAATATCTACTAGCTGTTCAATTTTCCTCGCTGAGATTGAAGAAATGAGATATGTAATTGAAAGCAGGAAAATCCATATTTTTGCCAACCTACAGTATGATAATTCCACTTCAACAAGTGATAACTAACATCTCGACTAAACTTAACCACATTGCCCAACATTGGAGTAAGTCTAAAGAAAGGAGCAAGTTTTATTCCTAAGTAACAATTGTAAAATTAGCCACATATTTAGAAATCAGGTCAGTTGTAAAATTTTTAAAAGGCCAGGAATGAAATCCTATGTGCAATTTTTTTCTGACAAGGATGAGCTAAAGAGTGCATTTCCACAATTAGCTACATATTATAGTGTTGTACCACTAAAGGCTGGTATTTAAAGGCTCCCATTCATTACACTTTTTCAGAAAGAGAGTTCACATTGATTTCCATCTCTGTCTTGATTTGTTAACATGTTCCATATTTTTGGATTTTAAAGACTTTCTCCTGTGGAGAGCAGTCTTCTAATAAACTAATTCTTAAAATGTGGGTCCTAATAATTGTGTCAATCAGAATCATCTGATGCCTTAAGAATCTCTGTTTATCCTGAATGATTGTCATAGACACACTACGGTGTGGTAATTATTGCTGTAATACTCATTGTTATTTAGCAGTCAATATATAGGTGATGCTGAACCTTAATTGCTCAAGTTATTTTTATATACAAAAGGTCTTATTTCCCATAGCTTTATAAATTCCCAATTATTCCTAGGTACTTTTCACATTCGAAGTGCCGCACTCCCACATTACAGTTCAGGCTAGATGAGCTTCTTTATATCCAATAAGATTTTTAACTCGTTCAAAATCATCCAGGCATAGAAAGCTCATTAATGGAGACAGGAAGAAAGATGAGCTGAAGAAATGGCTGCTTGAGAGGAAATATATATATATTTGCCACTACTCATTTTCTAGAGCTTACAGAAAATGAAGGTTAGGTATCTCTGATTTCTTCTAAAGTTCAAGAATTCAGGACTTTCAGTGTAGCTAGGATTCAAATCAATGCACTACATTAGCAGGGCTAATACACAGAATGTGTAAGCACATAGATGTTGGACTACTTTGGCTAACACTAAAAAAACTCTATAAGAAGTAACATACAAACCTTGACACTGATCAAGTTTAAACCATTGCTGCTCCAAAATGGGAACCTGTAGCAGTTTAAATGTAATAAATTTCTAGTAATAAGAGAACGTAAAGAAAATATAAAAAGCTGTTCCACATATTATAGTAATCTATTTATAACTACATGTGCCTTATATTCTGAAACAATTCCTGCACTAAATATACCAACCATTATCTTCTGAAACTATTCCCTTCCAGTGTCAATGCCGTGGTGTTTATAAAATTCTTTCCCTCCCAGTTTATTGGGTGAGGCATACGTACCTGAAAATATAACATCAGTCACATCAACAAAATGTATGGCTCACAGGATGAACAAAATCATATTTAAATTTGCAACACCATCAAGCATTTTAGGAAACCTACATTCTTGGATGAAGTCTGATATTTGATTGGAGAAGTCTAATTATAAGTATGAATATAAGTAGGCCATGGAATAATAATATAATTTGGACACCAAAAGTATAAACTCAGAGAGATAATTTAGTGGATGTGAGTATATATGTGCCATGTATTGGCCTTTGCATGTTATTGGTCTTTCAGTAATGTGTCAAGGAAATATTTGCACTATATAATTTAAAGATTCTTTGAAATCAAACCTCATATATTTATTGGAATGGGTGTATTATGTGATTCAATTTATAGCACTTGAATGTCAAAATAATAATGCAATATTCTATTAGATTAATATTCTAGCATTGCAGTAGTCTAGCAGTATCTCCATATCTATCTATATTTATATCTATTAATCACTCATGATTGTATACGTATATCTGTGTATGTGTGTGTATGTATATATGTATACACATGCATACATGTTTTTCAGAACTAAAGAGTTAAGTTGAAAACATGGCTCAAATTTACTAGCTATGTGATCTGGGTTAATTTTTCTGTGCTTACATTTCTTCACTGCTAAATAGATGTAATTATGGCAGAATACATCTATGATTGCTATGTGGAATAAATGAATCAGCATATGTAAAACACCTCTGGTAATTATACACTCAACAAATGTTGGTTGTCACTTTTATTATTACCTTGTAGGAGTTATTTGCCTGGAACATCCCCTGCACCTCTATGCTAAGAAACTTGGTAGAGCAAGTTGGTCAAATGAGATTTAGAGTTTCAGATTCTGGATCTCTGTTCTCTTAGGGATATGAACAACAATAAAAGATAGTCAGAAAAATTACTAAGAATATTTTATTTGCTAAAGCTTTTGAAGACAATGAGCCATCTTTAATATTCTTATGTCTCTAATACTTAGCATAGTACTTGAAAATTAATTTTTGCTTACTAAAGGTCTGCAAAGTTACAATCATTCTATGGGCATATATATAACAAAAAAAACTACCCTGCATAATTTAGGAGGGAAGGTCTTATGGCATTAATCTCAGGAGCTCTATATCCAAAAACAAGACAGGACAATCTGAAAGTAGAGTCAGATCCCACATACAGGAAGGGAAAACCAAGGTGATCACAGGGGCAGATTCATTGTCACAACAGGCAATGAAGAGGTGTCTTTCTTATAAACTGTCTTTACAGTCCTATGATGGAAATCAGGTAAGATGCAGAATTGGCAGCAATAGCACCTGGAAGAATGTCAATCTTGAAATAAAATTGGCAGGAAATAGGATTTGGATAGGCAGCCGGATAGGGCAAAGACCAAAAAGCTACTCTATGGGAGGTAGATATTTTCAAGCTAGATTTCTTGGACCTGAAAGGAAATAAGCAACACTATTTTGTATTGCCACAGTTGATTTTTGGCTTGAATACTCTTGTTTTGGGACTGCTATGTTGTTCACCTGGCTTTGTACTTTGTAGGCAGTGTGGCTGTTTTAGGTGAATGTGTTGTGTGGGCCAATTCTCTGGGAGAAGATTATTGAACATTTGATATATCTCAGGCACCAAGTTGAGTGATTTCTCATTGCATCATTTAGTTTAATTGGAATTACATTACTTTTTAAATTTTCAGGATAATATTATCACTACTCTACTTTTTAACAAACAAGGAAACAAAAGATTACATAATTAACCACACATCAACTTTCTCTGATAATTAATATTCTCCATAAATAGTTTCAGATCAGTGGATGAATAAATGAATTAGCACTAAAGCTTATGGTTTTATTTTTTCTTTTGGGGGGTTTACTTTTAGAGGAAGCCAATGTGCAATATTCTAGTAAAGTTTTTTTGTCTAATATGATTAAGCTAGATTAATTTTAGCTTAGTGTCTATTTCACTTGGTTTTCCTGAAATTTTAAAAACATGGAAGAACTTACAGGTGACATACAGGAGAAATCAAGTATTAATTATTTGGGAAGAAAACTATGACACCCATAGAAAGTTGGGATTTAAAAATGTAAATTAATAAATAAAGTGATTAAGTTAGAATAGGTTGAATAAAGGTATTGCTTTAGAAAGATATGTTAGGCTCACAACAATGTCTGTAAATCTACATTTCACAGATATGTTGCAAGTAGGGAACACTGACAAAAGATTGTAAGGAGAGATTTCTTTTTCTTTCAGAGTTACAGTAAGATTTGCTTCAACAACCACTAAACATGATGGAAGATTTTACTGGTTATTCATACAGAAAAAAAGGAATTTTTGCTTCTTCTAATAACTCATTGAATAATAATGATGATGAAGAGAAAGATGATATCTTGACATAAAGATAGAATGGCTAGATAGCATTTTTGAGCAAATACAAAGTATGAGACACTATTCCCAGCACTTTGCATATACCACTCAATATCAACACAATTTGAGGTTAATGAGGTAGGTATGGTCCTTATCTTCACATTTTATAGATAAAACCTAAGGTACTAAAATAGCCATCTACTGTGTGGTGAAGCCAGGATTCAAACCCAGGAATTCTGGCTGTAGAGCTCACAATATTTATTATCTGCTGCTTCTCTAAATATGCTAGAAATAAAGACACCATAATTTTAAAAAACTTAAACAGAAGTAGAGCAGATGCCTAATGGTCAGAAAGGAGAGCCAAGAAGTTGAATGGGGAATGGACTTCCGTGATGAACATGGAAAAAGCGAGAAGAGTTGGTGAGCCCCTGTGCTGATGATCCCATCTAGATCAGCTAACTTTCCAGTTTTCTTAGTTGCAAAGCACTGAGACAGAATAAAACTAAAGGTAGAGATTACCAAAGTCATTTTGTCATTGTTATGCTCAAATGCAGACACGTGAAAGGAGAGACAATAGATACAATCCAAATAAATGTATTTATTGCCATGTCTCAAGTGTTCTTCCCCTGTAAATTTACTATAAAATCATGCATTTTCATTGTGAAAAATCCAAGTAACACCAATATAATTATGTTTCAAGCGAATTACTTCAGATCTGCTAATCCTACACCCCAGAGGAAGCCACTGTTAAAATATTTTGGTTGTTTTTGTTTTGTTTTGGCCTATTTGGAGACATTCAAAAGACATCATACAGTTCTGCAATCTGTTAGCCATAAATCTTTGACAATTTTTCTATTGCTGCAGATACCTTTTCCAAAGTCTATAGATTCTATATTTATTTACAAATCACCCTGTTAATCTACTTTAAAATTTTATTTTAAAAAATTAAATTTTATTTAAATTTGTCTGTATTTGTGTAATTTTCTTTGTTACCTGGGCTGAATTACATTTTTTCTGAAGTGTATTATTCATCTGAATTTTGTTTATTGTGTTGATTACTCCTCCCTTTTCTATAGTATCTGTGTACATCCTCAGTGTTGAAAATTTTTTGCTTCCAATTCATCTTTGAACAAGATACTTCTATCTGGTATGGCTATTTGCTCAGAAATGGTTAAGGCAAGGAGATAGGTATTGATGTAGGATCACCACAACTTCAGCAAGAAAATGCAGAGAAATCAGATTTTGACCTTCCCCTATCAGGACAAGCAGTCACCCAGACAGAAGGTGTTGGTTCTCAGTGAAGTTTGTAGCCCTTAGATACTTTGTTGTGTTGTTCTCTGCTGAGTCAGTTTGGACCCAGGTTGTCAAATTGGATGCCATTCGTATTCAGTCCTCCATTATGATTAGCCACTACCACGCTTTTCCTGGGTAAAAACAGAGACTGGAGAACATAGAGATAGGTATCAACAACATCCTTTCTTTCTCCGATATGATTTTTTTTGAGACAGAATCTCGCTCTGTCACCAGGCTGGAGTGCAGTGGTGCAATCTCAGCTCACTGCAACCTCTACCTCCCGGGTTCAAGTGATTCTCCTGCCTCAGCCTCCTGAGTAGCTGGGACTACAGGCACATGCCACCATGCCCAGATAATTTTTGTATTTTTAGTTGAGACGGGGTTTCACCATGTTTGCCAGCAAGGTCTTGATCTCTTGACCTTATCATCCGCTCACCTCGGACTCCGAAAGTGCTGGGATTACAGGCATGAGCCACTGCACCAGGACCAAGATAACTTTTTTAATGGATTTCAGAGCTATTACTTTACTATCATTTTTTTCTCATTTTAACAATTGACTATCTCTTCTGAATTTCGCTTTATGAATTGAATCTAGCACATTTAATTCTGTATATCAGATTTAATTAGTATTTTCGTGAAACTAGCAGTGAATTTCTTGTCTTTTTAGACTTTAACATGAAGTATCAATTAACCAAACAATGGAGAAAGGTCTGTGTTGCTGTCACTGCAATGATTTTACACAATATTCTAAATGCAGTTGTGATTCAAATACCACAGTGCAAAGTTCTGAAAAGTCCTCAAAATAGAATTCTAATTTTTTACACTTGAACTTAGCCAAAAAGCCAAGAAGTAATTAACTCCAAATTTTTTAAAGCAAGAAAAATATTTATTTTTAAACATCTTAAGAGCAATATTCACATAGTTTTACTGAGCTACTCTATAATTAAATAAATCAGCAGCTATTTACTGTTTTATGTCTTTCACAGGAAAAGAAGGGCATATTCAAATTAAAATACATAATAATTTCCAAATATTATTTTCACCAATGATGTCGAATTTACTGTTAGATTCCTGAAAGATTTTCTTGCATCATTTGAAAGAGGCAAGAGGTACAAAACTATTCCCTCACTATCTGATTTTTATGAGTCAATGTTTAATTTTTCAGCTTTGCCAAAGTAGTGTTTTGCTTTTTGGATTATCCAATCATTTTATTTGATTTTTGCATAAGCACATCTGCCTTTCAATTGTAAATCTTCAGTAATAAATCTTTAAACTCTGTGCTTTCATTTAGTGCATGATAATACTGCTTTTATTCTTCCTATTCTAAGAAATGTTTGATGGCCATAAAAAACTTTGGATTCACCTTTGATACCCAGTTTCTTATGTGTCTGCAGTTGTTTCATACCTCTATACGAATGTATGATATAACTCATGAAAACGTACAAATGTTTCAATATGAAAAATGAGCTATTTGTATTTTAAGATTATCTGACTTGCCTCAAGAGTGATTAGAATAAGAATGCTAAGCAAGCAAATATTTTGACTATAAAGTAAAAATTGCCACATCCTAACAATTATTGATCTCAATAGAGATATGCCAATTGCTTCTAAATTCATCCTCATCTAATGTAATTTTCTCTTCCATGTTTCATGTTTCTTGCTGTCACTACATTACACTCCAGCAAGTGATGGCAAAGGAAAGTCTGCAGGCCAAATTGACCAACTGCTTGTTTTTGTATGACCCATGAGCAAAGAATGAATTTTACATTTTCAAATCGTTGCTGTATTAGTCTTTTCATACTGTTATTAATATAAAGAACCGCCCAAGACTGCAAGACTGGGTAGTTTATAAAGGAAATTTAATTGACTCACACTTCTGCATGGCAGGGAAGGCTTCAAGAAACTTACAATCATGTTGGAAGGCACCTCTTTACAGGGCGGCAGGAGAGAGAATGAGTGACAGCAGGGGAAATGTCAGATGCTTATAAAACCATCATCAGATCTCATAAGAACTCACTCACTATCACGAGAGCAGCATGGGGGAACCACCCCCTGATTCAATTACATCCCACCAGGTCCCTCCCACGACACGTGGGGATTATGGGGATTATAATTCAAGATGAGATTTTGAATGGGGAAACAGCCAAACCATATCAGTTGGGTAAAAAAATCAAACAAAAATAATATTCTGTGATATGTAAAAATTATATAAAATTTAGACTTCAGTGACCATAAAGTTTTATTGGAACACAACCATGCCAATTCATTTTTGTATTTTCCATGACTGTTTTCATGTTACAACCGCAGAGTTGAATAGTTGTTACAGAGACCATTAACCCACAAAGCCTAAAATATTTACTATCAGCCTCTTTAGAAGGAAAAAAAAAATGTGCTGATGCCTGTACTACAGGAAAATTTTCCAAACCTAGCTTTTATTATTAAGAGACTATACAGCTGCTAAGAGTACAGTCTCAAGTTTGAAACCAAGTTCCTCCATTTACCAAATATGTGTCCTTGGAAATTTTACATATTGTCTCTGTGCATTAATATTCAATCTGTATTCATAATTGTACCCGCTTCAGAGAGCTGTTGTAAGAATTCTGTGATCTAAAAGCCCTTAGGACATTGCATAACATACTGGAATAAAATTAGTATTTTTTCTTTTTGAATTTCATTTAAATTGTGTAAGATTATTAAAAATGTGTTAATATATTTTCAAATTGAATTCAAAAAAACAAAGTTAACCCCTAATAATTCATACATTTGTCTGTATTACATTTTAATGAATAAAATTAGCATTTTTTGAATTTCATTTAAATTGTGTAAGATTATTAAAAATGTGTTAATATATTTTCAAATTGAATTCAAAAAAACAAAGTTAACCCCTAATAATTCATACATTTGTCTGTATTACATTTTAATGAATAAAATTAGCATTTTTTGAATTTCATTTAAATTGTGTAAGATTATTAAAAATGTGTTAATATATTTTCAAATTGAATTCAAAAAAATAAAATTAACCCTTAAAGTTTACAGATGTTATATAATAGCAATCTAGTAATGTAAATTAATTCATACATTTGTCTGTATTAAATTTTAATGAAGGATTGAGGCATGGGTAGAAGTATTTCTTAATCCTGAGAATATTACTTAAAGCATAGAAAATGATGAAAAACATTTTCTATGGGGCAGGAGTTAAAAATAATAGATAATAGAAAAGGATATCTTCTCAATGTAATGGAGAAGTTAAGATTGCATAAAAATATGATCTACATAGTCTGTATTCCTTAACCCATTTGACTTAACTCTTAAAACTCACTTAACAAAAGATAATAAACTCTAGATGCTAGAACACAGAAAAAAATTATGACACATTTAACTTTTTTCTTCTTGTATACATTAAGAATTTAATGCTTTTAATAATAAAATAATTTTCCTCTGATATATTAAATTAGCTGAACACAAGAATTAACAAATGTGGTTAAGTAAAGGTCTCTTGTAAAGTCTTCATATATTTTCTCTCTACGTTTTCATAAGCTTTCTGCAGATAAGTGCTTAGACAGTTAATAAAAAATAGAATCAACAAACATCAACTTCTATGTTTACTAGGAAATTTCACGGTTAGTTATGAATCTGACTTCTTTAGCACAAATTTGCTCAAACTCATAAATACATTTGCATATTTATATTTCACTTTTACCTCTGCTTTTAAATTTGCTCTCAAGTTATGTGATAATATTCATGAAATTTTCTGTTTCAGTTGCATAATTCTAGGTATTCAAGATAAGGTTTTACAGGTAATCATAAATTCAGTTTCTGTTTTATTTCTTAAGCACATCTGTTGTGTTATTATAATGATAACTTTTGACAAGTGTATGGCCTCTTTGATGTATAGAGCTAAAGTTTATACTTGTGCTAGAAAATATATAACATTATATTCCATCCAGCACATTAAAGTAAGCCTGATTTTAGTTTTATTCGTTCTTGTCCTTCTCCATGACATCCCATCAAAGTATAAAGTTTATGGTTGTATACGAGGAAGAATTTTCACCATAAAATGCTGTGTGTACCATTTATATAAAATTCAAGACCAGACAAAACTAATTGGTGGTAATAAAAGTCAGAATAGTGGCTATGTCTGATGGTGAGTAAACAAACATAGGTATTGCCTGGAAAAGGACAAAAAGGAATCTGGTGGAGAAATAAAATTAGTATATCTTGATCTGAGTGGTAATTACAAAGGTATGCATATATATATAATGTATTCAGGTGTGTACTTACTTGCCTATTTTAATAAATTGCACCTCAGTGTTTAGAAAGAGAGCATGAGAAATGGTAATACCACACTTCTGCTACAACAAAGTTTTTGAATTGTAGCTCATCGATAAAATTTAAAACAATGTTTACTGAGTGAATGAAAAGGGGCCAAGTAATGAAGTAAGATTCCATGGATGTGGGGAACTAGAAATCACCCCCAAGGGCCACTGGAAAATGGTGAAAATATTTGTAAAACACTCCAAGTCTAGCTCTCTGTTGTTCATTTATCAATCCCCTGAAATCACCACAGCTTTTTCTTACTCCTGTTGCCATCCTAAATATAAAAAAACATCTGGGAAAGCAGGCAGCAAACAGCAGCAGCTGTGATTATTGGCACAGAAGAGAAGAGGAAAGCACAGAGGTGGCAGCATGTAGCAGAATAGCTATAAAACTGGGCCAAGTAGCAGCAGCATGCCCACAGATGGCAGAGAACTGAGCATGGGAAGGGCCACCTAGCAGCGTTTCCACTTTCCAAAGCTACTAAGAAAATTTCAGCACAAATAATTAGTCAGATCAAGAGTACATAGCCAATCATTTTATAAACATGCCCAAGTTCTCAGCACCCTAAGCCAGTTATACATTCTAACCTGGATCATTTAATAGCAGCATTGGGCTTTATAGGAACTTAGACTTTGACAAGTAAATCTGGGGTAAGATGAAATACGCTACTCGTCTGATGACTTTTGATGGCTTTTTTTTATATCAGCAATTTCAGGTAGCCTGGGTAAGTAAGCGCCAAGCTTTGCATTTATATGACAAGTAAGGATATGGAGAACAAAAGACAAAGCCTAGAACCATACACCAGGGGATTTAGAAAATCTTGCATAAAGCCCAAAGGAAGATGGTAGAATAAATCCAAATGTATCAGTTATCATTAAAAATAGAAATATGCTAAAACCCCAATGCTACAAACAGAAGTTGTCATGCGGCAATTTAAAAAAAAACATATATCACATAAATTCTATCCAAAAGAAGGAATTTATTGCTTCATGAGTATAGAAAGCTAAACTTTAAGTAAAAAGCAATATTAAAAATAAAAGGAATCATATATTGATAAATGATTTGATTTTTTTCAGCAAGAAAAACTAATTATAAACTTTTATACACCAAACAATGGAGCCTTTTGTAAAGTGAAAACCAACTGATAGAATTAAAAGAGAAATCTAAAATTTACCACAATGTTATCATTTCAACATATCTTGTTTGGATAGGTTCATTAACCAATGCCAGAAAGTATTATAAAATTAATAAGCTTAACATGATAGGCATATGAAGAATATACTCCTTAAAAATTATTTTAAGCACACATCATTTATGAAAATTTACACAAATTTCTATAAATTGAAAATGATTATTATCATAAAACAACTAGCTCTAAATTAACTTAAAAAGTTTTAAAAGATAACCACAATTTTCCATTCAGATCAAATTTTAAGAATGCAAATCTGAGTAAATCCTGGATCAAAGAGAAATGATACTGAGAATAAACAAATTGTAGATGTAAATCGTAAAGAAATAATTCTAGGATTAGCTTATGAGATATTTTGAGAAAAAATACTTTAAATTTAAACATGTCATATGCTAATTTTAGAATATAGAAATGTATATGAGCTAAATAGTAGTGAGCTAACTATTACAAGAAGGAAGAAAAATCAGAATATATCAAAATAATATAAAGAAAAAATAATTTTTCATAGGGCAAAAAGACATGACTTAGAAACCAAAAGTAAAATTAATAAAGAAAAATCAATTTGCCTTTTAAAAACATTAATATCATGTAAAAACCTATGACAAGAGTAATAAAAAAATGAAGACACAAGCAAAATTGTTATAATCACAGCTGCTAGAAACATACTCTCCTGCTACAATTGTGGAGTGTAAACCACTTATATTTTAGTATGAAAAGACAAAACTATCAAAACAATAATGATAACAATAATTTATTAAGAGATAGGCAATATTAAAAGATGTAAACTGAGACATCAAAAAGTCAAAATGTGGAATGGGATAGGAATAGGATTTCTAAAGTGTAGAAATTTTATTTTTTTTAGTTTTTTTGTTGGTTTGTTTTCTTTACAATCAAAGCTAGGTTGTCATCAGTTTAAAATAACTTATTGTAACTACAAAGCATTTTGTAAACTTCATAGTGTCCACAAAGCAAAAATCTGTAATACATACATCAATCCCCCAAAATCACCACAGCTTAAAAAGCAAAGAAACAGAACATATTATTAGGAAAAAAAATCATTTAACCACAAATGAAAACAGTAGAAAAGAAAGGATCAGAGGAGTTTTGAAACAACCAGAAAACAAGTAACAAAATGGTAATAGTAAGTCTTTGCCTATCAATAATAAGCTTAAATGTAAATGGACTAAATTCTCCAAATAAAAGACAGAGTGGCTGAATAGATTAAAAAATAAGACTCAATTATATGCTGCCTATAAGAAACTCACTTCACGTATAAAGACATGCATAGACCGAAAGAAAGCTAAAGGATGGAAAATATATTCCATGCAAGTGGAAACCAATGAACACAAAAAAGCAGGAGTAGCTATACTTATATTAAACAAAATAAACTTTAAGTCAAAATTATTTTTTAAAAATAGAAAAAAAAGGCCATTATATGATGAAAAAGTGTTCAGGAGAGGAATAGGATGTAACAATTGTAAATATATATATGTATATACCCAACACTGGACCAATTAAATATATAAAGCAAATATTAACATTTCTAAAGGAAGAGATCAACTGCAATATAATCATAGTAGGAGACTTCAACAACACATTTCCACATACATGTTCAGTGAGAAAATTAATACACACTGGAGTTAAACTACACTCTAGACGAAATGGACGTAACATATATTTAGAAAACATTTTACCCTATAGCTGCAGAATACAGATTCTTCTCAACAGCACATGAAGCATTTTCCAGATTAGATAATTTGTTAAGCCATAAACAAGTCTTAAATCTAAAAAATTAAAATCATATCAAGTGTCTTTTCTGACCATAATAAAACTAGAAATAAATAACAGGAAGAATTCTAGAATTATAGAAATGCATGGAAATTAACATGCTCATGAACAATCCATGGGTCAATAAAGAAATTAAAGAGGAAATTTTAAAATGTCTTGAGATAAATGAAAATGAAAAAACACAACATACCAAAACCTATGGGATATAGCAAAAGCAGTTTTAAGAGGGACGTTTAGAGCAATAAAAACCTTCATCAAAAAAAGTAGAAAGATCTCAAATAAACAACCTAACATTATACCTCAATGAACATGAAAAATAAGAACAAACCAAACCCTAAATAAGCAGAAAAAAGTAATAAACATAAAAATGGAAATAATCAAACTAGAGACTAAGAAAACAATATAAAAGATCAACAAAACAAAGAGCTGGTTATTTAAAAAGATAAGCAAAATCAACAAACATTTAGCAAGACTAAGAAAAGAGAGAAAACTCAAATAAATAAAATTAGAGATGAAAATGGAGACATTACTCTGATAGCACGGAAATACAATGGATCATAAGAAAATATTATGAAAAACTGTATGTCAACAAATTGGAAAACCTGGAAGAAATGTATAAATTCCTGTACACATACAACTTACTAAGACTGAATTATGAAGAAATAGAAAACCTGAACAGACCATCAGTAACAAGATCAAAGCAGTAATAAATGTTTCCCACAAAGATAAGCTTAGGACCTAATGGCTTCACTATTGAATTCTACCAAGCACTACCAAGCATTTAAATAATACCAATTCTACTCAAACTATTTCAAAAAAGTGAAGAGGAAGGAATGCTTCTCAACACATTCTACAATGCCAGTATTACCTTGATATCAAAATCAGACAAGGATGCCACAAAAAGATAACTATAGACCAATATCCCTGATAAACATACAAGCAAAATTATCAACAAAACACTAGCCAACTGATTTTGACAACACATTTAAAAGATGAATTACCATGATCAAATGGAATTCATCCCAGAGAAGGAATGATGGTTCAACATACACAAATCAATAAATGTGATATATTGGCCAGGCACGGTGGCTCATGCCTGTAATCTCAGCACTTTGGGAGGCCAAGGCGGACGGATCACGAGGTCAGGAGATTGAGACCATCCTGGCCAACACGGTGAAACCCTGTCTCTACTAAAAATACAAAAAAAATTAGCCGGGCATGGTGGCAGCTGCCTGTAGTTCCAGCTACTCAGGAGGCTGAGGCAGGAGAATGGTGTGAACCTAGGAGGCGGAGCTTGCACTAAGCCGCGATTTCGCCACTGCACTCCAGCCTCTGTGACAGTGTGAGACTCTATCTCAAATAAACAAATAAATAAATAAATAAATAAATAAAAATGTGATATATCACATGAACAGAATCAAGGACAAAAACCATATGATCATTTCAATATATGTTGAAAAAGAATTTGACAAAATTCAACATCCCTTAATGATAACTCTTAACAAATTGGGTGTAGAAGGAACATATCTCAGCATGACAAAGGCCATATATGACTAACTCACAGCTAAACAAAGTACCAAAAAGGGAAAAGTTGAAAGCTTTTCCTCTGAGATGTAGAAAAAGACAAAAATGCCCACTTTAACCACTTTTATTCAATATGGTACTAGAAGCTCTAGCCAGAGCTTATAGGCAAGAAGAAAAAATGAAGGACATCCAAATTGGACAAAAAAAGTCAAATTGTCCCTGTTTGCAGATAAATATTATGCATATATTTTTATTTATTATATATAAATACAAATAATTCATAATTATATATAACTTATAATTCTATATTTATATACATGTAGCCTTAAATGCTCCATTAAAAACTGTTAGAATTAACAGGTAAATTTAGTAAAGTTGCAGGATATTAAATCAGTATCCAAAAATCAGTAGCATTTCTACATGGCAGAAGCGAACTATCTGTAAAATGAATCAAAAAAGCAATTCTATTTACAATAGCTACAAAAAAAATAAGTAGGAACAAATTTAACCAAGGAAGTAAAAGAGCTCTATAATTACATTATTTATAAAATTAATTATTACATTAATCATAAAACAGTGATGAAAGAAATTGAAGAGAACACAAATGGAAAGATATCCTATGTTTATGTACTGAAAGAATTAATATTGTTAAAATGTGCGTATTACTCAAAGCAATTTATAGATTTAATGCAATCTCTATACAAAATACCCATGACACCCAATGATGCTCTTCATAGATACAGAAAAAAACTTAGAATTCATATGAAAAAGCAAAAGACTCTGAATAGCCAAAGCAATCTTGAGCAAAAATAACAAACTGAAGGCTGACTACCTGATTGCAAAATATACTACAAAGCTATAGTAATCAAAACAGCATGGTACTGGCATAAAACAGACACAAAGCCCAATGGAACAAAATAGAGTACCCAGAAATAAATCCATGCATTTACAAACAATTGATTTTTGACAAAGACACCAAGAACACACACTTGGAGAAGGGACAGTCTCTTTGATAAATGGTGCTATGAAAACTGGGTATTCACATATGGAAGAATGAAACTAGAACCCTACATTTCACCATTTACAAAAATTAACTCTAAATGGATTAAAGACTTAAATGTAAGATCTTGAACTATGAAACTACCAGATGAAAATATAGAGGAAATGCTTCATGAAATAGGACTAGTCAAAAAATTTTTTTAATGAGACCTCAAAAGCACAGGCAACAAAAGCAAAATAAGCAAATGAGATTATCTCAAACTAAAAAACTTCAAAGTGAGTAGAGACAACCTACAAAATGGGAGAAAATATTTGCAAAGTATGCATCTGACAGAGGGCTAATATACAAAATATATTAAAAATCTCAATAGTAGAAAAATTGAAATAATTTCATTAAAAAGTAGGCAAAAGACCTGCATAGACATTTCTCAATAAAAGGCATAGAAAAAACAGATATATTTTTTTAAATGCGTAACATAACTATTAGGGAAATGCAAATCAAAGCTTCAATTAGATGCCACTTCATGACAATTAAAACAGCTATTATCAAAAAGAAAAAAAAATTGCTGGTAAGAAGGTGGAGAAAGGATAACTCTTATGCACTATTGGTGAGACTGTAAATTAGCATAGTCATTATGAGAATAGTATGGAGGTTCCTCAGAAAGTTAAAAAAAAAAAATATCTACCATTTTACCTGGCAATCCAGTACTGGGTATATATACAAAGGAAATGAAATCAGTATTTTGCAAAGATATCTGCACTCTCATATTTATTGTAGCAGTATTACAAATAGCCAAGATATGGAATCAATGGAATCAAACTAAATAACCTTACATAGAAAAATGGAAAAAAATATGGCACTCGTGTGTGTGCATGTGTGTGTGCATGTGCATGTGTGTGCGTGTGTGTGTGTTTTATGCCTGGACTACTATTCAGGCATAAAACAGAATGAAATTTTCACTGAACCTAAGCATAAAATTTTTCCCTGGTCTTTGGGTCTTCATTTTGAAGGCTCCCATGTCATGTAAAACTGTGATTGCATAAATGTGTTATGTTCTGTCTTGTTAATCTGTCTTTTGTTATGGGAATGTCAGCTGTGACCGTTAAGATGGGGAGGAAAGATATCACATTTTTTCCAGCCCTACATCTACCATGCCATAGAAATTAACCCAATTTATTAAATGTTATTAGCATAGAGCTAGACAAATAAACTAATGCAATAGAATATATAATCCTCCCCCAAAGGCTAATATGTATATGGAAACATAATCAATGGTGTCCAAGCAAGTAATTACCCTTAATGAAAAATAAAGCTGGCCGGGGACTGTGGCTCATGCCTGTAATCCCAGCACTTTGGGAGGCCGAGATGGGCGGATCACGAGGTCAGGAGATCGAGACCATCCTGGCTAACACGGTGAAACCCCATCTCTACCAAAAATACAAAAAATTAGCCGGGCGTATTGGCGGGCGCCTGTAGTCCCAGCTACTCGGGAGGCTGAGGCAGGAGAATGGCGTGAAACCGGGAGGCGGAGCTTGCAGTGAGCTGAGATCGCGCCAATGCACTCCAGCCTGGGGGACAGAGCGAGACTCCGTCTCAAAAAAAAAGAAAAAGAAAGCTGAATCTCTACTTCATAATGAGAGGTAACAGCGTGCTGGCAGTCTTCAGAGCCCTCCCTTGCTCTCGGCACCTCCCCTGCCTGGGCTCCCACTTTGGTGGCATTTGAGGAGCCCTTCAGTCCCCCACTGCACTGTGGGAGCCCCTTTCTGGGCTGGCCAAGGCCGGAGCCCACTCCCTCAGCTTGCAGGGAGGTGTGGAGGGAGAGACACGAGCGGGAACCGGGGCTGTGTGCGGCACTTGCGGGCCAACTGGAGTTCCAGGTGGGCGTGGGCTTGGTGGGCCCCGCACTGGGAGCAGCCAGCCAGCCCTGCTGGCCCCAGGCAATGGGGGACTTAGCACGCGGGCCAGTTGCTGCGGAGGGTGTACTGGGTCCCCCAGCACTGCCGGCCCACCAGCGCTGTGCTCGATTTCTCGCCGGGCCTTGGCTGCCTTCCCACGGGGCAGGGCTCGGGACCTGCAGCCCGCCATGCCTGAGCCTCCCACCCCCTCCGTGGGCTCCTGTGCGGCCGGAGCCTCCCCGACGAGCGCCACCCCCTGCTCCACGGCGCCCAGTCCCATCGACCACCCAAGGGCTGAGGAATGTGAGCTCACAGCGCAGGACCGGCAGGCAGCTCCACCTGCAGCCCCGGTGCGGGATCCACTGGGTGAAGCCAGCTGGGCTCCTGAGTCTGGTGGGGACTTGGAGAGTCTTTATATCTAGCTCAGGGATTGTAAATACACCAATCAGCACCCTGTGTTTAGCTCAAGGTTTGTGAGTGCACCAATCGACACTCTGTATCTAGCTGCTCTGGTGAGGACGTGGAGAACCTTTATGTCTAGCTCAAGGATTGTAAATACACCAATCGGCACTCTGTATCTAGATCAAGGTTTGTAAACACACCAATCGGCACCCTGTGTTTAGCTCAAGGTTTGTGAGTGCACCAATCGACACTCTGTATCTAGCTGCTCTGGTGGGGCCTTGGAGAACCTGTGTGTGGAAACTCTGTATCTAAGTAATCTGATGGGGACGTAGAGAACCTTTGTATCTAGGGCAGGGATTGTAAACGCACCAATCAGCGCCCTGACAAAACAGGCCACTGGGCTCTACCAATCAGCAGGATGTAGGTGGGACCAGATAAGAGAATAAAAGCAGGCTGCCCGAGCCAGCATTGGCAACCCGCTCGCGTCCCCTTCCAGACTGTGGAAGCTTTGTTTTTTCGCTTTTTGCAGTAAATCTTGCTACTGCTCGCTCTTTGGGTCCAGGCTGCTCTTATGAGCTGTAACACTCACGGCGAAGATCTGCAGCTTCACACCTGAGCCCAGCGAGACTACGAGCCCACCCGGAGGAACGAGGAGCTCCAGACGCGCTGCCTTAAGAGCTGTAACACTCACCGCGAAGGTCTGCAGCTTCACTCCTGAGCCAGCGAGACCACGAACCCACCAGAAGGAAGAAACTCCGAACACATTTGAACATCAGAAGGGATAAACTCCAGACGTGCCACCTTAGGAGCTGTAAACCTCACCGTGAGGGTGCGCGGCCTCATTCTTGAAGTAAGTGAGACCAAGAACCCACCAATTCCAGACACAATAACATACAAAAATCAATCTGAGTGGATTAAAACAATGTAAAAATAGCCATACAGTTACTAAAGATAATATAGAATGTGTGTATCTGATATAAGGAAGAAAATATTTGTTAAATAAATGTAAAAACATGTAAAACAAAAATTTACAAGTCCCATTACATTAAAAATTAGGACCAATGTTCATGAAAGACAGGCCAAACGTGGGGAAGACACTTGTGTGACATGAAAAAGGATTGTGATACAGAAAGTTTAATTGTTAAAACTCTATAAATAGAGCAGGGGGCACTCGGGTGGGGAAAAATAACTATAAATAAATAAGAAAAAACAGATAACTCCCCAGAAAGATGCAAAAGGATAGATACTTCAGAGAATAGAAAACACAAATGACCAATAAATACATGAAACATGTCTACATGTCTTATATTATGAGCTTTCAAAGACCTTCAAGTTAAAACCATAATGTTATTATTACACAGTAAGCTAGATTTCAAGTTTTCACAAGATGAAATAGTGGCAAAGATGTAGAGCATCTGGAACTCTTAAATAAAGCTAATAAAATGTAAAATGGTACAACTACTTGAAAATCAATTATGCCCTTATCTATTAAGGTGATTCTATACATGCCTTACAAGCCAGGAATTAAACTTTTTGATATACACCCAAGAGCTACAAGATACATACAAAAATGTTAATCATGGCAATATTTGTAATAACAAACCAAAAATTACAAAATATATATCCAAAGCAAAATAAAATATGTTGTATTATGAAATTATACTATTTAAAAATGACAAAAAATTAAATACGTAGTAGCATGAATGAAATTTAGAAACAAGTGAAAAAGCAAATTCTAGACTAGTGCATTATAGTGATTTAATTAATATAAAATTTTAAATAATATATTGTCAATATTGTTTCTAAATGTCATCATTTATGAAACAAATGCCACAAGTTCGTCACTCTAAAGAGCATTTCCCAGAGGTGAGGTCTGAAGAGGCTAGTCTTCATAGTGGAGCTTACTGAGGTGCACGCTTCTGTTGGGTACATCAACTCAAACACATTACCTACCTGCTGGAAAACTGAGTCCTTAAAATAGCCTAGACATATATAGATGAGCTTTTCCAGTGGTGTGTACCCTTAGGTATACAAGAGAAATACTTCGGGAGTTTTAAAAAATTTTAATGATCGGGCCACACATCAGCCAATTAAACCAGGATCCTTGGGGATGAGACCCAGAAAGCCCTACGTTTTAAAATTTTACCGTGATTTTCCAAGATGCAGCCAAGGTTGAGAACCATTATGTTACAGCAAGTCTTTATCACTTTCTCCTGAAAAATTGAATGCTTCGTGTGAATGTAATTTTACTCAATCCTGAATAAACTCGTCTGCCTAGTATTGATGGTCTGCAATCTCTTAAGTTATATATATATATATATATATATATATATATATATATACATACATACATACATACACACACACAGGTTAAGGTAAAACCTTTGATGTATATGTATAAAGACCAGAGCAAGAATAAACCACTGTGGAACCTATGGTTTAACATGAGGTTAAAATCCTCTGTGTTGATTCACACAACTGAGGAAGATATCAGTCAAAAGTATTACATCATTAAGCACTTTCCTAATTAAAAGAGAACTGCATGATCACTTTATATGCATCAAATTACTTATAATTTACAGTGATATTTAAAGGTAACATTTACTCCATATCTATGAGAAGTACACCTAATGGATAGAAAATGAGTTGTTTTTATTTCATTTCATAAGTGAGAAAATCCATATAAACTATTAAATTAAAAACAAAAGCAATTCACAGAGAAGAATTTCTTACTGAAACATTTTATTTTCCTTACTGATATGATATCATTACCAGAACATAAGTTCCTAATTAGGCTATACAGTAATAATCAAAAGTCTCTAAGCACCAACTATAAATATACGAATTCTTAGATCTCTACATTTTAAAAACAAGCTCATTTCCTTTACTTAAATTGTAAAAAGTTGGCTATGATTTTCCTCAAGACATTCATGTTCTTATTTCATAGCACTTTCAAAAAGGTTGATTAAATTGTTACTTTTAACTATAGATTCACAAAGTTTTAGGCATTTTTATTATTAGTTCATTTTCTGAAATTGAAGTATTTTTCAAGCTAATTTTTTATATAAATGTGTAAGCCCTAGCTCAAATATTTGTATTTATCATTCACTTTCGGGACTTTTTTTCTCTGCTGTATTGTTTTAATCCTCATCTTTATATCGTCTATATGTTGAGAGGCAAAAATTATCAATTATTGTTAGTTTCACAGTGAAAAACTTGTCTTAGTCTATCCGTGTAGTGATTTTGAGAATTATTAATAAACATAATTATCTCTTTTATAAAAAAAGAAGTATAAGAATGTTTAGAGACACAAAGAAGACAGATCTTAACTATATTAAGAAACGGAAAAAATAAAGAATTGAAAAAGAATTATGGAGGCATACAAGTTTCAAGGGATAGTTCCCAATGTAATTGGTAGATGCGATTTTCCATTTACTCAAAGGCACGTGGACCCAAACTCTATATAAAATCTACATAGGTTATTGGCAGGAAAATTAATATATTTGGGTGAATTAAGGTAGAACTAGGCTAGATTGGGTCAAATATTGTAGATAATGAACAGGATTGATTAAAAACTGATCTTGCAAAACCCATAATAAAATATATGCATTATATTAATAAAACAACTGAAGAGATAATTTATACATGCTGTGAATGTACACTCAGGTGCCCTTTACCTGGCTAATGTACGCATATCCAGCTGTGGATGTGGTTTGCTAATTTCTGATGGCTGTCGCCTTCCCTAGAGAATTGGCTTGTGCCAAAAGGGAGATGCCTTGAAATATAAATCGGGCTCCAGCATCTCCTTATTAGTAATTCAACTAATGCGAGATTTTTTTAAAAGACTGCCCCACCTCCTTCACTCCCTTCCCCTCACTAGCCTCAAAGCTGGACTAACTCTGTGGTATAATTTACCTTTGGAGGTTCCCTTGGGGATCAGGATAAAGGTACATTCTTACTTAACATTTTTACCCTGCCCTATCTCACTTTTCTACTCTTCTTCTACTGAAGGCAGTCTCCTATGAGTAAATGATCAGAAATCTTCCATGATGAGTAAGAACTCAGGCTCTTTATCTGCAGAGCCTAAACTTAAGACAGATGATCTCTTCCCATTTCCTCCCTAGTTCCTCAGTGAGGTGCTCTTGAAGTTCTGTAGTCTTAGCAACCTGCATGGAGGGAGGGATGTGCCAGTTAAAAGGAAGTCTAAATTAATGGTTCATTTGGTTTCTTGTAAGTAACTATGAACAAGGTCATGTCAGCACTCCAGGATCTATTTTTTCACCATATAAGGAAAACATAAATTGCATATTTCTACATTCAATATTTCTCTCACATCATAAGGCTGAGAGTAGTTTTGGTGAAGTGGGCCTGGTCATATTCTTGCAAGATCCTACCCTTGATTGTGAGCATGGGTGTTGGCCCTTGTATTCAATCAACCTCTCACTCTTCATGGCAGCAATACATTTCCATTGTGCATTATGGGACTCTTTTGGCTTGTAAGACTATTGAAGTGACTGACTGTTTTACCTCACAGTCCTCAATTATAAAGTTGTAAATATCTGGCCTGCTCTCACCAGACAGCTTCCCGAGTTTTATTTTTCAAACTTTACTCTGTAGGACTCACTGACAAGATTATGTTCTTATGGTTCCACATCCCATGAAGAGGGCATAGCCAGTCTCAGGTTGGTGATGGCTTACGACCAGGAAGATTTTCAACAGAAAAGTAGACTCAATATGTTCAACCACACAGTTGAAAATACCAGGCCCAGTGGGGCAATATCTAATAGAGGAAGTTTCTCAGCAAATGCACTCCTCTTGCAGCTAGTTTAACCTACAAATGCAACTTATCTCTCTCTTTTCATCTCTTGGAATTCATTCAATGCACCTACCTGTCTGGCCTGGTTTCAGCCTAGGAGTATAAACAATGGCCATGCTAACTTAAACCTTCACTTCTCAAGGCTAGTGTTTCTGGCATGCTCCCTTCTCTTGGAATTTTTGAGTATAACAAACTGTCTTTTCAATAGCAATTATTTCCTGACCTATTGGTCTTGTCTAAACAATAAAAACTTTGAAAGAGTAGCCTGGCCTTTACTGCTGCCAGTATAATGAACATGATGGCTTATTTAATTCATAAAAATTAGCTGTGCCACATCTTCCTTGCTTTTGTTTTTTGTGTGTTTTGTTTTTTTTTCTTACCAGATTTTATTTTAGGTTCAGGGTATACGTGCAGGTTTGTTATATGGGTAAATTGCATGTTGTGGGGGATGGGTGTACAGATAATTTTGTTATTCGGGTAATAAGCATGGTACCCAATAGGTCATTTTTTAATCCTCACCCTCCTGCCACCCTCCACCCTTAAGTAGGCCCCACTGTCTATTGTTTTCTTCTTTATGCCTAAGTGTACTCAATGTTTACCTCCCACTTTTAAGTGAAGCATGCAGTATTTGGTATTCTGTTAATTGATTTAGGATAATGACTTCCAGCTTCATCCATATTGCGACAAAGCTCTTCTTTATATGTCTGGTAGAATTTAGCTGTACATCCATCTCTTCCAGGGCTTTTCTAGTCAGTAGGCTTTTCATTAATGATTCAATTTCAGAACTTGTTATTAGTTGGTTCAGGGTTTCAGTTTCTTCCTGTTTCAATCTTGGGAGGCTGTGTACTTCTAGGAATGTATCCATTTCTTCTAGGTTTTCTAGTTTGTGTTCATAGAAGTGTTCATAATAGTCTCAGGTTTTTTGTTTTGTTTTGTTGTAATTCTGTGGGGTTGGTGGTGATGTCCGCTTTGTCATTTCTGATTGTGTTTATTTGGGTCTTCTCTCCTTTTTTCTTTATCAGTCTGGCTTGCATGATCCTGTCATCGTGTCTTATTTATTCTTTCAAATAATCATGTTTTGGTTTTGTTTATCTTTTTTATGTTTTTTATGTATCTCAATTTCATTCAGTTCAGCTCAGATTTTGATTTTCTTTTCTTCTGCTAGCTTTCAGGTTGGTTTACTCTTGTTTTCCTAGTCCCTCTAGGTGTGATGTGAGGTTGTTAATTTGAGATCTTTAACTTTTTGATGTGGGTGTTTAGCTATAAACTTTCCTCTTAACACTGCTTTAGCTGAGTCTCAGGGATTCTGGTATGTTTTATCTTTGTTTTCATTAGTTTAAAATAATTTCTTGTTTTCTGTCTTCACTTTATTGTTTACCTAAAAGTCATTCAGAAGAAGATTTTTTAATGTAATTATATGATTTTGAGAGATCTTCTTAGTACTGATTTTTATTTTTATTGCACTGTGGTCCAAGAGTGTGGTTGACATAATTTCAGGGTTTTTAAAAAATTCATTGAGAATTGTTTTATGGCTGATTCTGTGATCAGTTTTAGAATATGTGTCAAGTGCTGATGAGAAAAATATATATTCTGTTGTTTTTGGGTGGAGAGTTCTGTAGATATCTGTTAAGTTCATTTGCTCAAGCATCGGAGTTCAGTTCCTGAATATCTTTGTAAGTTTTCTGACTCAATGATCTCTCTAATATTGTCAGTGGGGTGTTAAACTTTTCTACTATTATTGCATGCTTATCTAATTCTCTTAGTACTTCTCTAAGAGCTTGCTTTAGTGAATCTGGGTGCTCCAATATTGGGTGCATATATATTTAGGATAATTAAGTCTTCTTGTGAATCAAGCCCTTTATCATTATGTAATGCCTTTCTTTGTCTTCTTTGGTCATTGTTGGTTTAAAGTCTGTTTTGTCTGAAATTTGAATAGCAACCCCTGTTCTTTGTTTTTCATTTGCATGGTAGATTTTTCTCCATCTCTTTACTTTGAGCATATGGGTGTCATTGCATGTTATATGGGTCTCTTGAAGACAATATACAGTTGGGTCTTTCTTCTTTATTCAACTTACCACTCTGTGCCTTTTAAGTGGGGCATTTAGCTAATTTACATTCAAGGTTAATATTGATATGTGCATATTTGATCCTGTCATCATGTTAACTGGTCGTTATTCAGACTAGATTGTGTAGTTTTTTTATAGTGTGTCAGTAGTTACGTTTTGTGGTGGTCAGTGACAGTGATTTTTTTTCCCATGTTTAGCATCCCTTTAAGGACCTATTGTAAAGCAGGTCTAGTGGTAACAAATTTCCTTGGCATTTACTTATCAGGAAAGGATCTTTTTTCTCCTTTGCTTATGAAGCTTAGTTTGGCTGGATATGAAATTCTTGGTTGTCATTTCTTTTCTTTAGCACTGCTAAATACAGGCCCCCAATATCTTTTGGCTTATAGGGTTTCTGCTGAAAGGTCTGCTGTTAGCCTTATGGGTGACCTGCCCCTTCTCTTTAGCTGCCTTTAATATTATTTCTTTCACATTGACCTTGGAGAATCTGATGACTGTGTGTCTTAGGAATGGTCTTCTTGTGTAATAACTCAGAGGGATTCTCTGCATTTCCTGAATTTTAATGTCAATATCTCTAGCAAGATTGGGGAAATTTTCATGGACAATGCTCTCAAATATGTTTTCCAAGTTGCTTGTTCTCTTTCCCTCTCTTTCAGGGATGCCAGTGAGAACTAGGATTGGTTTCTTTACATAATTCCATATTTCTCAGAGGTTTTGTTCATTCTTTTCTTTTTTCTTTGTTTTTGTCAGATTGAGTTGACTTCAAGAATCGGTCTTCGAGCTTCTTTCCTCAGCTTGGTTGATTCTGCTGTTAATACTTGTGAGTATATTCTAAAGTTCTTGAAGCAAGTTTTTCAGCTCTATCTGATCAGTTTGATTCTTCTTAAAATGTCTGCTTCATCTTTCAACTCTTATATTGTTTCAGTGGATTCCTTAGATTCCTCAATTGGGTTTTGACTTCCTCCTGAATCTCGAAGATCTTCGTTCCTATCCAGAATCTAAATTCTTTATCTGTCATTTCAGCCTGGTTAAGACCCATTGCTAGGGAACCAGTGTGGTCATTTGGAGGTAAGAAGACACTCTGGGTTGAGTAAGAAGACACTTTTGATTTGTCAGAGTTCTTGCATTTTTTCTTTCTCACCTGTGCGGGCTGACATTCCTTTAATCTTTGAAGCTGCTGTCCTTTGGATAGGGCTTTTGCTTCTATATTCTTTGATGCCCTTGAGGGTTTGTCTGTGGTATAAGGTCTATTCAGTGATTGGCTTCATTTCTGAAAATTTTCAGAGTGGCAAGGATCAGCCCAGCACTCCTGGGATTCATGCTCTAATCCTGGGGAGCTGGTACAAGACCCAGGGCTTTGTTCCCTGACCCCTGTCAATGCAGACCTATCTGTCTGGCCTGGTTTCAGCCTAGGAGTATAAACAATGGCCATGCTAACTTAAACCTTCATTTCTCAAGGCTAGTGTTTCTAGCAGGCCCCCTTCTCTTAGAATCTCTGAGTTTAACAAACTGTCTTTTCAATAGCAATTATTTCCTGAACTACTTGTCTTGCCTAAATAATAAAAACATCAACACAGACCTTAAGTATGATAAAGAAACATTTACAATCTATTTTTCTCTAAAGCCTGCTATCTGGAGGCTTCATCTGCACTATAAAACTTTGGTCTCTATATACCCTTATCATAAGCCAGACATTCCTTTCTATTGCTTCCAGGTCTTTATATAATAACTTGACTCTTTCAATCAATTGCCAATCAGAAAATCTTTAAATCTACCTATGACCTGGAAACTTCTGCTTCAAGTGGTTCTGCCTTTTCAGATCGAACCAATGTACATCTTACATGTATTGATTGATGTATTATCTCTCCCTAAAATGTATGAAAGTAAGCTCTACCCAGACCACCCTGAATACATGTTGTCAGGACAACCTGAAGCTGTGTCACAGGTGTGTCTTTAACCTTGGAAAAATAAACTTTCTAAATTGATTGAGACCTGTCTCAGATACTTTGGGGTTCACATTACATATTTGCTATTATATATATTTGCCATGTTACATATTGTGAAATGAAAATAGTAATTTCAGAAAAATACACGTGTGGTTCTATTAAAGTAAAAATAAATAAAACTGAAATATACTTAGTAAGCAGAATAAGATTCACATAAATAATGACCAACTAATAATATTATTTGAATAAAACAGTGAGATTTAGGGAGGGAAAAAACAAATGTTCTGGCTGGGCGTGGTGGCTAATGCCACTAATCCCAGCACTTTGGGAGGCTAAGTCAGGTGGATCACTTGAATTCAAGAGTTTGAACTCAACATGAGACAGGGTAGAGACAGGGCAACGTGGAGAGACCCTGTCTCTACTAAAAATACCAAAAAAACCTGGGTGTGGTGGTGTGCACCTGTGGCCCCAGCTACTTGGGAGGATCATTAGAGCCTGGGACCGAGGTTGCAGTGAGCCAAGATCACACCACTGCATCCCAGCCTGGGTGACAGTAAAAGACCCCTGTCAAAAAAAAAAAAAAAAAAAAAAGAGAAGAAAGAAAGAGAGAGGGAAAGGGAGAGGGAGAAAGAGAAGAAAAGAAAAAAAAGTTCTACTGTTACTTTCTATCTTTGAAATTTTAAGTTCTTAGGTAATTATAAATGCACACATGCATCCATGTATATAGTGAAATAAAAACGGCCACAAATTTTTTGACAGCCCTCCCTTTGACAGATGGCATTTGTATACCTTCCCATTGAAACAGGGTGGGCTTTGTCTGTTGGGCTGCACTGACCAATAGAACATGTGGCTCTGATTGTGAAACATTTTCCAGGCTCAGGTTTTAATAGACTGTCCTCTTCCACTTCTGCTGACTTGAACACTCTCGTGATGTTGCCTCTAGGAACCCAGCCAGCATGCTTGTGAGAAGCATGCCTGAGTCCTAGAGAGTCAATAGTCTCTGATGAATGCCACCCAACAGTCAATATCAACTGAAAGCCATCTGCGTGAGCCATCTCAGTCCAGTCAAGCTATCAACATGACTGCAGCAGCACTGGAGACTGCAAGAAAGAATTGCCCAGCTTAGGCCAGTCAACACACAGGATTACAAAAGGTAATTATAAATTATTGTTTCAAGTCACTGAGTTTTTGGATAACAACAAATAAAATGAGCAATGTAAGTTGGATAACCTTTATCCAAAACACTTGGGACCAGAATTGTTTCAGATTTCGGATTTGTTTTTTTGGATTTTAGAATATTTGCACAGACATAATAAGATATCTTGGGGATGAAACCAAAGTCTAAAAACAAAATTTGCTTATGTTTCATATATACTTTACACACATAAGCTGAGATAATTTTATACAATACTTTGAATAATTTTGTACATGAAGCAAAGTTTGTACTAAGTACTTATGTATGGAATTTTCTACTTTTAACTTCATGTTGGTACTCAAAAAGTTTCAGATTTTGGAGCATTTCGGATTTCAGATTATTGTATTATGCATGCTCAATATGTACATGCAATATGCCTTAAAACACGCAGAAGTATACCTACAACTTAAAATAATAAGGAATTCAAAATGTCAAATCTGTACATCTGGAGACATTTAATAAACATATGTCAACATTTTAAAATAGTAATTAATCTTCATTTATTAACACAATCCTTGACATGTAGAAGGTGTTTTGTAAATATGTTAAAACATAGACACAGGCAAGCTGTAGGGTCAAGGAAAGCTTAAAAGAGGGAAGAATATTGAATCTAGGTGAAAATGATAGATATATTTTCTCCAGAGCTCTTCAGGATCCCTTCAACAACTCAGAATTTGCACATTTTATTACTTTTATTTCACAGGAGTTTTGTTGCAAATGCCCATTTCTTATGGTTAATATTTTACTTAACCAAAGAAAGGGAGACAGAAACAAACATGTTATGCTCCTTTACCTTCAATAGGCCCAGAAACTACACATGAGTAGATGTACATAAGCATAAAAATGTTTTGTATAAAATTATGAAAATGTTTTTAAGACAAAACCTGGAGACACAAATGGAAAATGTGAACTAAAGGTAGAATTCTTCTTTGTTAAAGGCCATATAATAGCCTTGATATTGTGAGACTGAATAATAGTATAAATTTTAGTCAAATGGCAGAAGGTTACCTCCCATAGAGTCAAGAGGCTCATCTAAAATAGGAGTTTTGAGTATCAGAATCTTTTCTTAGCTGCCTAAGTAATTGCAAATATATAATTGTATTTCCAGATTGTTACGATTCAAAATGACCTATTTTTTAAATATTGAAATTGAGAGAATTCTAGATGAGAAATATTGGGGAAGATGAAGAGAGGTACAGAGTACAGAAGAGGAGCATGACCCTGAGGTCCCTGGAATGGCTTTCTGTTTAGGGCATGCAATCTAATGGCCATCAATGAAACAGTAAATAAGGGCAATCCATAATATCAGTACTGAGGTAAATTACTGTCAGTCTACAAAGAGAGGGCCACACATATGTGAAAGAAAACCTAAACACTTCTGCACCTAGATATACAAAGCAGCTTGTCTCAGTCCAACACTTCTATCAAAAACAACCATAATCATTGAGTAAAATAGAAATAAAACAAAGTAGAAAACAACGAAAAACACAGATTTTAGATGACATTACAAAGCAATCAAGGTAGCAGAATTTGAGGATCAAAATCTCGTAGAAAAGATAAATTTACTGAAGTGAACCTTCCATTTTCCTTTCCATGCATCAACAGAAGAAGAATCTAAAAAGAAAGTGGCATCTAAGAAACAAAAAGTTAGGCAGAACTTTCAGCAGTCTCACAGTACTGGGAAAGAATTATGCCAATTTGGGCTACAGAGCAGCCAGGATTTGTGGGTTATGACCCTAGGCAAAAGGGGCAAGAACAGAGAAGGGAGAGAAGACAATATTCTGAGCTTTATTTCCCCTTGAGATTTGCTTATTCTAAAGTTTCATGGGATGAGAAGCTGAGAAGATAGGAAGAGTGGAAGCTGAGAAATGTAAAACCTAGGCAAAACTTCTAGTGATCTCACACTGCTAGGAAGAAAAAGATCGAAGTCGGGTTTTTAGACAGAAAGTTGGGATTATGATGGCATGCTTTCAGTTGAGACTCAAGAGGGAAAATTCACATGCATTACTAGTGGGGGTGTCAATTTTTTTCAATGACCTTGCAAACATTTTTGTGTTGCTTCGGAGAGATTTTGCTCTAAAATTGCATTCAGGGACCCAGGTTGTTACTGGCCCCGTCATCTTCAAAATGTGGCTTTCAAGTGTAATACATCACTTATTCCATTGCACATGGAGTAAAACAGATTGCAAAGAGAAAATAAAAGTTTTATGGCCCAGGTCTCAGAAGTGGTCGTCACTTGCAACTACATTCCGTTGTCCAGAAATTAGTCATATGACCACATTTTACTACAAGGGGAATTTACTCTAGCTCTGAACCTGGGAGACAGGTACATAATTCGATAACCTAGAACGTCTCTTTCAAACCCCATTTCTCATCATTTACACACATATAAAATAGCATACCTTGAATACCTTGAACAACGCAGACATAGAAATTGCTTAATAGATACTTTGCATTTTAATTTTATTTGACTTTGTACAAGTAAAATTACTCTATGAACACCAATCTCTTAGAGCAGGCAGTTGCAATATACTAAAATAACAACTTTCTAGGCTTAAAATATTTTCCTCAGTTTTTTGCTGATTTATCAAGAAAATTTAATAGGAACTCCTTTGGTTCTCACATTACGTACACCAGTGATAAATTTGTTACCAAAGAAAGGAAACTCTACAAGTTGAGAAACTAATGATATAAGAAGCTATTAAAGATTGTAAACTGCTGTGTACGATAGATATTCACAGCTGGTAATGGAAGTTTTAAAATAGAAGTCCTCATGTCATTCTGGTTGGTAACCCTCTGCAAAGCCTCAACAAACTGCTTTGTGATTTATATCTAATTTGAATATGCCATAAACTCCCCAAGCAGTTACTTTTGAGAGAAATTTCCATTTTCCTTGAATTTTTCTTTCTATGCTTTTGAAATTTACTCACTAGCGTTTAAGAATAAACTTAAACCTGAGGATGCACTTCTAATCACAGTGTCTTCTAATACGATTTTCCAGGAAGATTAGAATGTGCTCTCTGCACAGGCATTAACTTATCAAGGTTTATTTTGGCAATCAGGGAACTGCTAATAAGCTCAAGAAGAGGTCATGATTAAGCAAGAAATTTATTGATTCCTGGTGTCCTCCATTTATCATGAAATTTACATTATAAATTTCATGATTGTACATAGAAACATGTTTTGCAATATTTACCTTGCCTTTGGCAGAGTTTAAACAAGATTTGAGAATTGCTCATTTATTTTATCAGCCCTTGACTCAATTCTTAACTCTCTAACTTACGTTGTTTGTTCAATTAATGTTGAGAGGTCAGCAAAATAAGGAAATAAAACACTCAGCTAACATTTGGTAACTTAGCCAATATGTGTTAGGCACTCTTTTCTTTACATATATTGTCTTAGTTAATTTTAATTCTTACATTCATCTCACCTCACATGTAAAGCAGATGTTACATGGACTGATATTCAGGTGCTTTGCCCAATGTGATTGACAGATTTTCTTATGACTGGTTCGTGTCTTCATAGCCATTAAATGTTTAAAGTATTATCTCTGAAGATTACTATTTCATCTTACAGAAAAGAATACTAGATTTTAGGTGTCACCACTGATAAATGAACATCTGGTAAAAGATAAAGTAGAGATACAAAATCCAAGGAGCTTAATCTTTATCACATGGTATATTGAATATTATTTTAAAATTAAATCATAATCTGTATTTATTCAAAGACTTACTTTTCCATGACCCTTAAGTTTTATCAGAAAATTTGAATAACATATAACAGAAACATTCCTGTGCAATGAAACATGTATGTAATCATCCAAATGCAAAACCACAAATTATCAGACACAGGAAGTGCAGTATTTCTGTTGTTATAACTGTATATGCCTTCACTCTTTCTCACCTGTCAGCAGACTATCACAACATAAATCCAAACTGAATAATAGTCTTGGAAATATCAAGGTAATCATTTCAACTTTGCTGTGTGTGTGTGGGGGGTGTGTGTGTGTGTGTATACGCATGTACGTAAGGATACAAAAATGTATCAAACCATTAATATACCAACTGGGAGTTCTTTTATTTACTTATTTTCTGTCATTTTACTAATACACATACCCACAGAAATATTTTTAACATAAAAGAATATCTTTTGGCCACCACACAATTATGAGATACTTTTAAATAAAGCAATCATATTTTATTTTGTTTTGTTTTCCTTGGACTAATAAAGCAAGAAAATTTGAATATTTCCTTATTATTATGTATAATAAAATATTTGAAAATCAATACAAGTTATTCATTTTTACAAAAACATATGGCGTCTGTCTCTATCTGGAGAAAATCTATACCCTAGTTCAATCTCTATTCCCTACAACACATCCGTAAGTCCCCACACAGCTAATCATGAAAATACTAATGAAACAAACACATGCTTTATTCATAAGCCTTGGCTTACTAGGCTCTTCTTATATTGCCAGAGAAAAGAAATATTAAAATAAATGATATCTGTGTTCAGTACTGAAAATAAATCAAAACAGCCACAATGCCAGTTATAATAGATTCCAGTCAAATGTCATTTTATCACATTAAACTGAATTGGCATTTTCAACAATTCTAGAATAATTTTAGTTAGATATAATTGGTTGAGTGGAATAATTAAAAATCCTAAATATATAAGGTGTTTCAAGGCAGTATATAATGTATGTCATATAATGCAAAGCAATATCCTTATTATGTTTTAGAGTTCCAGAATTATATATTAGGTATTTATGCACTGAACCATAAATTTCCAATTCACTAAACTGCATTCAATATTTATGAAATTAATCAGTATAATTTATGGTATTGCTTTATGTGAACAAAATTTATGTTTTTGTATCTTATTTGTTGAGGTAAAATGTTTGGCCAAAGAAAAAAATAATTGTTTGCTGGCAGCAGAATTATTCACAAAATCAAAAAGGAATAGGCAACTATTCATTGCACACTTCCAGGGGGCACCATTCACAATGAATACTTCTGCAGTTAACAGCCTACAGAACTAAATGTGGTGTGTTGGGTAGAATCATTTCAAGAAACTGTATTATCTCTAATTTCTAGCCTATTATGCTTTCTTACCCTTTGCAAAAATCATTTAGGACATTTTAAATAGTTTTGGCCTCTCTTTTATCAGCTGAGTCGTGGATCTTTTTTGAAACTTCTTTTTCCTCTATTAATTTTGCATTGGCTGCTATGCAGGAACCCCTTAGAGACATCTTTTCATTAGAGACATTTTAAACCACCATCTCTCCAGAAACTTGTGCCTTTGAACAGATTTAATGCATCAAATCCGTACATTCATCCAGCTGCTTAGACTTTGCTAATTCGTACATATGGCAGCAGTCAAAATTCAACAGAAAGTGCATTTAGAATTTTATTCAAAGGATGGCCTGAAACAGGAATGTCAAGTTAAATCTGCCATGCATTTACTGTTTGTCACAAATGACCCACAACAGAGTTACACTCTCATCAAGAATGACCAGTTAATTAACCTTCGTATAATTCAAAGTCATTCACTCATTACTGCAAGCAAGCAAAGTCATCACAAGGATAGCATACTCATTCTTTCACTGTAAGGAAATTGTTGCCTTTATTTTTCAGAATTTCCGTCTTTGTATTTCAAAACTAAAACTTGTCTTTTCTGGGAGGGATGCAATAGATGTTTTAATAATGAATTTGGATCTCCATCTTTATAAAAATCATTTATAAAAAGGCTATTGCAACATTTATAATTTTGTAAATATACTCTGTATTTTAGCCAATTATAATAATTGGCTAAAATTCTATATGTTTTTGGACCCTTTAAAAGTTAACATTTTGTAGCTCTCCCTAAAAAAAGGCGGGGGAGGTAACTTCTCTTAAAGTTCTCCCTACTGATACCTAGTATAAACTTATGACTCCAAAATGTCCATTCCCAGCTTAAACTTTTGTCTTGTAACCTGTATTACGTATTGACATGTCCATTTAGTTTTCCTTTAAGCACTTCAAACTCAATACTCCAAAAATGACCTTGTCGTCCTCTTGCTCTACTGTGATGTTCTTTGAATTAGTAAGTAGCACCACCATTATCCCAGTCACTGAGTCTAGAAATCTAAGAGTTAACCTGAACTACTACTTCTCTGTCATCTTTTACATGTACTTGGCCACAAATAGGAGAGTTCACCTTCTAAATATTTCCATCACCTGTCTCCTTCTCTCCTCAGCCACTGAAAGCTTCCTGGTCTAGGTCACCAGCATCTGTTGCCTGGGCATTTGGAATAGACTTATAACTTTATCTATCTGCCTCCAGTCTTGCTCCATTACAATCCATCCTCTGTTCTTCAAGCCAAACAATCTTACTAAAACACAAATCTGACACTTTACCATTTTATTTAAAATGTCTTGATGATATCCCATTTCCATTAGAATAATTAATTGCCCACCCTTATCACAGCCCCACATGAATTTTTCCCATACAGTTTTCCATCCTCGAATAATAGTATGCTCACCATCACTTCTCAGGCTCTGAGAATCTGTTTTCAGTTTCTCCATTAGATTATTGTCTCTTACCATCATACCTGCAGACTTTCTACATTGTCACACTGAAATTCATCCCCATGAGTTCCTAGATAGCACCTAACATTCACTTATCAGTTTAAGCATTATATAATCAAAGGGACCTAATCTGGCTTATTGAATTAACTCATGTCATCTGATTGGAATCCCATAAATCTTGTATGTTCCCTATATTAACACGCACTCCTGTATTCTCTCATCCCTCCTAAGCTTTTAAGTTAGTGTGGGTGTGGATCTATCCACCTTGTTCACTAGTGTAAGACCAGTCCCTATCATGTCTGTCATTTAAAAGCAGAAACTTCAAAAAAGTACCTTCTAGCTTGACATTCAGCCTTTACATATAATGTATCAGGATATAAAATATTTTAAAATAAAGCAGACATAGATTTAGGGGAGGGGATTATTTAGCAGCCTGAGCTTTGAGCCAGACTCCCAGTTTCAAAATTTAGGTCTGTCCCTCACTAGCTGTGTGAAGCTGTGTGACCTTGGACAGATTATGTGTCTCTGTGTGTTGATTTTCTCCTCTGTAATATGAAGATAATATTTATTCCTACCTTATAGTACTGATGTGAAGGTTAAAGGACAAAATATTTATACAGTGTGTACAATAGTGCCTTGCACATAGAAAAACTTGCTGTGTCCCTGTTAACTATTATTACTACTAGTGTTTTAGGCAGTAAGGTTTGGGGTCAGATTGTGTTCAAAGTCTTGCTTTAATACCCTCCAACCTTGTCATCTTGGTCAACTGATTCAAGTTTTAAAGCCTCAGATTTTTCTTCTTCTAAAATAAGGGGGACAGGAAGTGTTTAGTAAAAGTGTACCAACTAGTGTTAATGTTAAGCTATAACAGACAATTGAATTGGAATAACGTCTTGCTTAAGTTGAAATCTTGTTCACTTAAAGTTATTGTATTAGTAAATTTGACATTTAAACCTTAGTTCCTTTGACGTCAGTTGAAAATCTTTTTCATTTACTCTAATTAAAAATAGATTAACCTGCAATTCACATTAGGTATAAATGCTCAAGTTAAACAAATTAAAATAAATAGTAACTTAAATGTAAAGGAACTTCCTGTGAACTAGTTCAATCCAGAAAAAAAAATGCTATTTCTCTTTTCCTGTGAAATAAAGGTAAAAAATTTACTCTTGCTATTTTTAGCTTGCTTCTCAGGACTTTTGAAAACTATGGCTCTGTACATAATGTTATAGATTCTTTCCTTGTGTATATTCTTTTAAATGTAAATTATGTTAACTAATAACAGAAGGATTGAATTTTTAGCCATTTCAATTATTTTCCCCTTTGCCCTTTATTTTAATATCACATTTCTCTGGCATCCTCATTGCAACTCGTAGCATTTACCATGATAGGACATGTCATCTGGCACTTATTTCTCCCACGCTTCATAATGCTGACTCAAACAAAGGTTTTAAACAAAGCCAACTCATTATTACTAGTAATCTTATCATGCCATTATGTTTAAGCCATTTTCCTTTACTCCATACTGAATGAAATCAATATTCTAGTGTGAAATACTAATATATATATATTAGCCAAAGTTATCACAGCATGTTCAAAAGTGTAGTTTAGAAGCTAACAATATCAGCTATGCTGTTGCCTTTGCATAAGGTTTCAGTGTTTTACTGGTTGATGCAAAGGAAGTGTATTCTAATACACTGTGAGTCAAGTAGTCAAAACATTTGGATCTGGATCAGAGACAAACCACCATAAATCAAGCAGACTCTTCACTTATGAACAAGGCACACTAACATGACTGTTTCTTTAACAGCGGTTGCTCAAAGCAGAAAAAAATTTCCTCCTGCACTGATTTACAATGGACAATTTTCTGTTCCTCCAACTTTTGAACATCCTTATTTTGGAGAATTTCCACCTTTATGATTTGAGCTTCTCCAAGATAGAATCCACAAGACTTAATTTCTTCATCTTTGGTGCTCAGGCTCAATGAATGAGATCACTAACACAAGACCTCAATTCAAAATTGAGCAACAGGAAGGAGAATCTATCTGCACAGAACCCATTTTGCTTGAGGGCAGTGGCAGAAGCAGCTGGATTTCTGAATGGCAGAGGTTGCAAAATTACATTTCTGGGTCTGAAATGATTCCAGTAGGGGTGATAGTAAATTGGAGTTCCTGGCAGGAGGGTGTGGAGGGTGGGAGTAGTGCCAGTTTAGTCAGCAAGCCAGCTCTTGGCATAGTTCTGGGCAGTGTTCCTGGAAGCTGAATCTTGAGCCTGGTTCTTTAGCACCCTAGCATTCCATGAGTTACCCATTTTTGTTATTGTTAATAAACACCTTTTCTGCTTCATTAGTCAGAGTCAGTTTCTGCTACCTGCAACAAGAATCTCTATAAATATCATAACACAGCAGTCTGTGTACAGCTCCAAATGTTATCAAGCCTAGTTGGAATTGTATCCAGAGTGGAAGAAAAAGAATACAGAAATTAAATTATAAAACTATTATTTTCAAGTACAAATGATTACCAGGAGTGGTCTTAAGTGCTTACCATACATTATCTCATTTAATTTTCACAAGTGCTTGATGAGGAATATAGTATCCCCATGAAGCCAGTGCATAAACTGAGGCAGAGATTAACTAACTTGCCAAAGATCTTAGTGCTATTGATCACCAGAGCCCTATGATAGAAGTAGATCTAGTTTACCAGTATTCTTGCTTAAGGGTCACTGAAATTATTTCATATTTCTGGTAAGTTTCAAGTAATAAAGTAATGGAATTATCTTGCCATTGTTATCCATATGACTCTATTTCCAGGTGGCTGGAATAAAAATAAGAGCACTGGCAAGCGCTTTGCCCTTTTCTGGCACTTTATCCCATGCTTATCTAGGGATTCTCTCCAGTGTAAACCCTATATCTGTACTAGATTCTAGTACAGATATAGGTCTAGGGTTCTCTCCAGTGTAAAACCTATATCTGTACTTGAGCACATTAAGCGTCGACTTTCAACCATGACTGGATAAATAGGTTCCTCTTCCCTTAGAAGTCAACATAAAGTCAGAGTAATCCTGGTTCTTTTCTTGTCAGTTACTGAGAACACTTAGATAATATAAACATTTTTATACGGGCCCTTGTTAGAAGGAATAAAGCAACTTGAAATAGGAAAGCTGCTCAAAATCTATAATGAAAAAATATTGGAAAATTCTATCGAAATTGACAAGGTAGTTCCCAAAGGTATAATAAATGGTGGTAACTGTTTATCATCTCTAAGAATACATGGCCACAAAATCAAAAGTTCTATGAGATATTTTAAAAATAAAACCAACTTTAAAAGTATATACAAATTTTTTTTAAAGTCAAATCATTCACAGAACATCAATATTTCCGGAAAAATCTCTTCAAAGAAACCCGAACAATGTGTTTCTTCCCCAAGGATAAGTCCACAATATTGTAGAAAGGAATTACTGAAGAAGACACTTTAAAAATCCAAGTAAAGCATTAAGTGAACAAAAGGGAATGTATGTGTGAAAAATATTTGATTTAATAGACATATAGCCTACACCCATTACCAAGCAGGATTTCTCTTGTGAGTCACTTAGCAGACCTCAGTCCCATCATAAACAGTCTATGTCATATGGACTGTATCTCTAAATAAAAATTAGATGTTCAAACACAAAGTTTTCCTTTGGTGCTAAGTCTCCCTTGCTGTGACTTAATTTCATCCCAGTTAAAAAAAATTTACATAAGTGACAAAAACAAATACTTGCCTTAGTGGTTCTGTTTGTATCAAATTAAATCCCAATAGCTCATTACTCTACTTATATAGAATTATCCTGTTAGAATTATCCTGCTTTGCTCATCTCTCCCTACAAATTCTCATTATGTTGAAGTTATAGATTTAAAGATAAATGCCACCTGTAAAACATCCATTGTTTTCAAGTTATAGATTTAAAGATGTTTCATTTCAAAATATTATTGTGTCCAAATATCTCATGTTTTCTTGTGTGTCTTTTATGTCATTCAGTAGCTCTATAATTTTCTTTATTTAACTCTGCCGCATATCCATTATTAACTGCATTCCTGAGTATTTCTTTCCCTTCCTTCTGTTCTCCCCTTTCTCTCTCCTATGACCTCAAAGACTGTCAATTTTCACTTGTCCCATTCCTTTGTTCAGTCATTAATTCGTACAGGGCTGAATTGAGTGTTAAGTTCTTTACTTCTGTTTTTGTTTTCTACATTGCATTGATGTGTTTGGTACCATTCCCATATCTTTAAATGCTAATAGTTTTATTTTCCACTGTTTTTGCCTCTCTGTATATTTTGATCAGTTCCTGGGAAGATGGAAGGTGTAAGTCTGCTCTTACTATCATTTCTAAACCTCAAAGGAGCAGAGACTTCTGTGATTTTCACTCATTGCCATATTTTCAGTGACAAGAAGAGTGACTTTATTATCCCAAGTAAACTGGTTCTTTCTACTTGACAGAGGATGGTTTTGCTGTAATCTGTGCTCATAGAACTTGGAATCAAAAAACAGAACTGGCATGAGTTCTAATTCCTCAACTTATAAGATGAGAACAAAAGCATCCTGCTACTTCACATGGTAGCTTAAAGGAACAATCTACATATATATGTGATAATGCTTTTTAAACTGTGAATTTTTTTATCATTATTCTTTTACTCATGTGGCTCTTTTCATTAGTTTATATTTCTTCTGCCTTAGTATATGAACTCATTTTCATTTCTTTTTGTCAACTGTTTTTCTTTTTCTTCTCTCACATTACCATAAGCTTTCATCTGCTGAAATAGTATTTCTGGAAATTAAAATTGATAGATTTTTAAAAAGGTTTTTATTTGCCAATAAAAATGTGTCTCTTGGGCTATCTATTTCTTGCTGATCAAAACCCACTACTCCCTTCATTGCCGTACCACGGATTGTCTTCAAAGATAGACCCCTGGTGTTTTATACACTGTTGATCTTGGTTAATCCAAGCTTTTAAAATATGTGATTTAGGAAAATGGTATTCAAATTTGAACCAAGTAAAATTTTATTAATGTGTAGGAAACGTATTTTCTTCTCATTCAATTTCTAATTAAATAAAACTTCACATTTGAAGAAAGACAAATCACATTTGGTTCTTGCTGCTTAAATTCCTGCAAAAATAATCCCTGCACTAGCTTTTCAGAGATACAAGTCTGTACCTGATCTTATTCTTATGAATATTGTCTTTCCTTAATTATGTCAAGGAAAGACAAGATTGTACCATTTACTCATTTTAATGTTTTAATTTTAATTTTAGTATTCACAGATGATTCTTTTATATTGTACAAAGGAAAATGAAAACTAAATTGGAATCATTCTCATTTTTGTCAGTCTCAAAATGAAAAATGTCCTTGAAATAAAATATGTTGTAAAAGTAAACCAATTTTTAACAGCAGAAAATTTTAAAATACTAAGTTAAAGTAGGGGACTGTTATGGACTGTCAAAAAAACTTGAGAGATGTAATTAAATTAAATTATGGTGGACCCTAAACCTTGACCAGTGATCCTAATCCTGATCTACCTGGGTAGCTCAAGGCAGAACCAGCTTTTTGGTGCAAATTGTGCTCCAAATCTTCCATGGGACAAGTCTGAAGCTTTCCTCCAGCAGAGACCACATCCTTGCTTGGCCTTTTTCCCTGCCCTGGCTTCTCACGTATGCTGTTTTTCCTGACAGCATGACCTCAATAACTTCACTGGTGCAAGACTTCAGACTCTGCTCTGCTCAGGTTCTGCTCCTGGGGAAACTGGCCTCAAGCAGTTGGTAACAAAAGTGATCAGAGGAAGCCAACTCTAATTGTGGGAGCCTCAAGTTCTATCACTCATCAGTCAAATGGCATTGCAAACTCATTGGGTGGTAGATAGAGAATTGATGGTCTCTAGCATAGAGCAGCTCTGAGATTTGCTGGTGCCCCACTTCACGATCTTCACTCCTTTTCATTGGGTGAACTGTGACAGGATATAAGTAAAAGGGAACACATGAGTTGGTGCAATGATATAAGAGAAATACTAACCATAAGTACTGTGAAATTAGGTGGCTACTAAATTTACAGTACTTAACGATTACTGTGCCCCAAAGTGCCCTGTTACATTGAGAGAAATAACAGCATTCTATTTAAAAACAAAAACAAAACGTTTTAAGCAAATTATGTGTCAGAGAACCTACTTGGCAGCATTTGAAAAGTCGACCACTCAACTGCCAATTAAGGGCATTCAGCAATAAAATCCAGGAATAGCTCCTAATTGTAAAAGAGTGAGAAAAGCAGAAGTTCAAAGAAGGTTGAATTCTTACTCTAGCCAAGTATTCTATGCCAAAGTCACAGCCCTAATAGGCAAAATGTAGGAACTCTGAGACTTTGGATGGACCTATCTGGGACAGATGCCCTGAGTGTTTGAACTTTCAGATTTCCCTGAACCATATATGACTACAAAAGTAGCCCACTTCCCTTTGTTTGAAGATGGAGAGCCCCCTTTACTCAAAGACCATGCAGAGCTTCCAATTGTGGCAGATATTCTATAGGTACCCTATATAACAATGCTTGCTCCTCTTAGGGTCTGCTTCCGCCTCTATTCCTGGCCACCAGACCCATAATCCAGGATGCTGGATCAAGAGAGAAAGAATATAAAACTAGATAAGAGAGACTGTGTCAATATGGGCGCACTTACCATGGTACAAGATTTAACATCCTGGTGAAGACTTGAGAACATGAGCCTAACACACTGCTGAGTATGGCTTTTAGAAGTTTAAGAAAACTGATTGCCCAGATTAAATGAAGTAGAGATGCCAGAATTGTCAATGCAGACTATAAAAGAAACAGTTTAAAAACTCAGAGCATTGGGCATTCTAGAATGGTTCTACTCTGTAAAAATGAACAAAGCAATAACTGACTATGTTTTTTGGAAGGATCTGGATCACACTCCATTTAATATGGAGTATGAAGGGGCTCTAGCATTGGTTGAGAAGCTCAGCAATGGGTGTCCTCTGCAAACTGGGACTGATGGTAGGAGATGCTGTTAAAGAACAGGGATCCCAAGTAGAGATGGGATGATAGTATCCCCAAAACAGAAGTAATTGTAGTTGTTGTAATGAGCAGTAAGGTTAGAATAGCAACTAGGAAAGATTGATCTGCAAAACTCTATTGTCATGGCTAGTAGAACATGACTTTCTTAGGGGAATATTAGATGGGAGGTCAACAAAAGTATTTCTTAATATATGTAATCAAAGGAAATCAAGTGTAAATCAAAGAGAATGACCAAGGTTAGCCTCAATCGTTTTAAGAGGTTTATTGGCCAATGTTAAGGATGCATCTGAGGAAAAGAACACAGAACCACAGGAAAAATCTGTGGTCCATCTTTTCTCCGAAGAGGGTCTGGAGACTTCAATACTTAAAGGGAAAAGAGCCAGTACTGGGGGAAAGAAGAAGAAAGGAAAAAAAAAAGGGAGGGTAGACACAAGAGGCAAGCAGTTGCAGTTGCATTCTTTTGAGTCTTTGATCAGTGTTCACAGCATATACATTTTACATGTGAGAGGGGTGGAGGAATACTCACTTATGCATTCATCTAGTACTCAGCGAATCTGCATTTTAAAATAAGATAAAAATAAACAGAGCAGAGGAAGCGGTCAGACTTGCATTTGTCTCAGGTGAGCAAAGGAATGACTTCTTAGTTCTGTCTTTTGTCCTACACTTGTGAAAATAAGCTATCAATTTACATTGTAGGGTGAAATTCAACAGAACTCTTTTAGAGTAAAGATCTTGGGACCCACAAGGAATTTCCTTGTGGGAAAATTGTGAGGGAGGTATGTAGCATTTTTAAATATCTGTAGTTATTTTATTTAGGAACAAAATGATAGGCCGGTTTGCATGACCCAGTTCCCAGCTTAACTTTTCCCTTTGACTTACTGAGTTTGGAGTGCCAATATTTATTTTCCTTTCACACAAGAATAGATGAGAAAGTTGAGGTAACTTACACAAATGGAAAGTCATAACCCTCTCCTCAGTGTCCAGTCTTGGGTCAGTTCTCAAATCCATAACCCATTGACTGAAGGAAAGACCAGACTCCTGTGAAAAACTACTTTGTATTTACCATGCTAACTACATGCTGTGATAATTTCCCCAGTCTTTTCCCACAAAGGACCTATAGCCATTTACTTAGGTAACTCTAATTGAGAAAGGGAAGTGTCCAGATCTTTCTAGGGCTGTTGGATAGAGTCTTGTAACCGCCCAGTGGGTTTATTTTGCCCACTTCCCAGATAGAGCCAATTTTCAACACAGAGGAATTGCAATTGAGAAAGAGTTTAATTCACACAGAGCTGACTGAACTGGAGAAGTTTTATTATTACTCAAATCAGTCTCCCCCAAAATTTGGGGATTGGGGTTTTTGAGGATAATTTGGTGGGTAGGGGATTAGGAAGTAGAGAGTGCTGATTGGTCAGGTTGGAGATGACATCATAGGAAGTCGAAGCTGTCCTCTTGTGCTGAGTCAGTTCCTGGGTGGGGAGGACAAAGACCAGATGAGTCAGTTTATCTGTCTGGTTGGAGCCAGCTTATCCATTGGGTTCAGGGTGTGAAAAATATCTCAAGAACCAATCTTAGGTTTTACAAGAATGAGATTATCCCTAAGAGCGACTGGGAAGGTTTAGAATCTCGTGGCCTCTAGATGACTCCTAAACCATAATTTCTAATCTTGTGGATAATTTGTCGGTCTTACAAAGGCAATCCAGTGCACAGGCAAGAAGGGGATTTGTTTCAGGAAAGGTCTGTTATCATCATTGTTTCAAAGTTAAACTATAAACTAAGCTCCTCCCAAAGTTAGTTCAGCTTACGCCCAGGAATGAACAAGCAGGTTAGAAGCAAGATGGAGTCAGTTAGGTCAGATCTCTTTCACTGTCATAGTTTTCTCTCTGTTATAATTTTTTTGCAAAGGCAGTTTCAGTCTGATCTAACACAACAACCTACAGAGCCAATGTGCCATCATGGTATCCCTGTTGAAGTGTGTCAAGTATTAAGCAGAGTGCTCATTCGGTTTAGATCCATCTTATAGTGAGTCCACTGGGTGCACAGACTCATCCAGCAGCATTGCTCAGGTTCTCGGATGTAAGGTTGAAATGGACATGCTTAGAAGGTAAAAGAATCCCTACATCAGTTCCTTTACCTGTAAAGTAAGGGCTGTTATAATTGGAGAGGCTAAGTGGAAATTCTGTGCATTTGTTTTTTACACTGCAAAAAATAATTACCATAGTGACCTAAAAACAACACAGTTCTGTAGGCTAGAAGCCCAGGTGGGCTCAAGTGGGTTCTCTGTTTAGGGGCTCACAAGGCTGAACTGTGCTTTTATCAGGAGGCTCAGGTGAAGAATCCACTTCCATGCACAATAACATTTTTGGAAGAATTTAATACCTTGCCGCTGTAGGATCGAGGTTTTTGTTTTCCTGCTGGATGTTAGCTCCTGGAAGCTGCTCTCTTGTTCTTACCTGTGACCCCCTCTAACTCAGCAATAGAAAGCCTCCTTCATGTTGACTTACTGTCACACGAATCTCTCTGACATTATCTTTTGCCACAAGTTGAAGGAAACACTGTGATTAAAAGGTTCATTTTAAACAGAGATTATTACCTAAATAACTTCCATTTTGCCATATAATGTAAGTAAATCATGGGAGTAACGCCAGGTGGCAGAGATCATGGGGGCTGGATCAGTTTCCTATTGTTATGCAACAATAACCACAAACTTACTGGCTTAAACAATACACATTTATTATCCTAGAGTTCTAGAGGTCAGAAATCTGAAATGGGTCTTACTGGGATAAAAACAAAGTGTTGGTGGGGATATGTAACTTCTGGAGACTCTAAGAGAGAATCTGTTTCCTCATCTTGTTTGGTTTCTAGAGACTGCCCCTACTCCTTGATGGGGGATATAGAGTAAGCAGTGGACGAGAGAGAATGAGTAATCAATTAATTCCTTAGGAACAAATGTAGTTGCCAGGGCTGCAGTCTGCTCCACAAACTCTCTTCTTATATATGTTTTCTAGAAATTGTGAATCACCAGAATTCTAAATAAGCTATTCCTGAGTGTAGTGAACTAAATGTGAGAAGCAAGAGGATCTGAATGGTACAAGTAGTGGACTAGTGTAGATGCTCGTGGTATACCCATAGATTCCCTTAGCCAAAACAATTAATCCATCAACTAGTTGCTATGAGTATTGCCTACAAACATTCCAGCTGCTTCATTTTGTGGAGCACTATCCTTGCCAAAAAGCAGCTCGCTCTCTCAGCAAGTTACCCCATCACAACCACCAGCAACTACTGGTTAATGACTGACTGATGTGGGATGAGGCCTCAAGATAAGGCCAACTTTGGCATGTAAGTTGTTCTCCAGTGATCCTATAGGACCAGGCTGAATCTAGTTTCCAGCAGATATCATGTTGTTGTTTAGCTTTCTTCCTCCTGCCCTATCTATTTGGCTTTCCTTATCTTGCTTCCCCAGAGAGCATTCCCTTAACAAGTCACTTTCATAAAATCCCCATCTCAGCCTCTGTTTCTAGGAAACAACTTAAAATACGCCCCCCGACCCCCGATCATATTACTTCCCTACATGTCCCAGAGGTAAATACTCTTACAAACATATTGTTATTGTTTGTATGTTAGTGCATTTACTATGTATGCATGTATATCTAAATAATACACAAAATAGTTTGAATATTCATGAAGTTTACATAAATTGTATCATTCTATTTGTATGTTTCTGTAATTTGCTGTTTTTCACTCTCTAAGTTTCTGAGATGTATACACACTGACTGTGTATGTGTGTGTGTTGCTCTAATTTAGTCATTTAACTCTTCCATTTTATTGCATTTATTAATTTGAATTACTTCAAGGATTTTTTAAATTTTTCAACTACAAAAAATGTAGCTATGAGCATTCTTAAACAGAAAAATATTTGTCTAAATTTGACTTTCCAGGAGAGAAATTGCTAAGTAAAAGTGTGATGTCTTTTGAAACTACTTGCTAATATTTAAGAAAAAAAAAAGTGGTTGAAGCAATCTATACTATCACAAAGATAGTTAGTGTGTTCAAATATTCTACATTTGCACCAGCAGTGGTATTCTCTAGCATTTAATGTTTTCTATTTCTTGAGTATGTAATGGTATCATTGTGGCTTCAAGTTGCATGTCTCCAGTTACTAGGGAGGCACAGTATCTTTTCATTTTTTTGTTTCATTCAGGTTTCCTCTTTCAAGAAATATTTGTATGTATATTGAGTATTCTTCTGTATAATTGTTTTTTTACTGATTTGTAGAAATACTTTATAAATTCTAGATATTCATATTTGTGAATATCCTCTTCCAGTCTGTAGTTTGTCTTTCCATCTTGTATTGTTTTTGATGTGCAAAATATTCAAATTTTAGTTTAATTAAATTTATCATTCTATTTTTTTTATTTTTTAATGTGATTAGCAAATATTTTCTTACCCCAAGGTCACGAAGACATTTTTCTAAATGTTCTTCTGTGTTTTAGAATTCTGCCTTTCAAATTTATATCTTTAGGAGAAATTTTTGTTTTGAGATTACGAATTGTCCCAATACCATTTACCAAAGTGTTCATTCTTTCATCTTGATAGGCAATGCTAGCCTGGTCATTTATTAAGACTCCATAGTTGTGGTGACCTATTTCTTTGTTTTCTGCTTTGTTCTGTAAACTTTTTTCCATTTCTGTAAGCTAACCACACTAATTTGTTATATATTTAATTTTTACTGATATTTGGTAGAACAGATCCCACCATTTGCTCTTTTTGCCAAAATTATGCCCTTCTATGATACTTCAAAAGTGGATTTGTCAAGACCCATTATAAACTTTATTGTATTTTGAATGAATATATAGAATATGTAGTGAATTGACATTTTTTCATTCTTATGTCAATTTTTGTTTTTTTCTTAGATAGTTGGCCAGGATTTTAAATATTCTTTTTATTGAAATCATTGGCTTTTGTGAGCACTAACAATATGCTTTTAAATACTAATAAGATAGAACATCTTTTTCATGTTCCTATCTTAAAGAAAAGTAATGCAATATTTTATTTAGGTTTGGAATATAAAACTTTTACAAATTAAGTAAGTTTCTTCCTTGCCCTAATATGCTAAGGATTTTACTTTTAATAAAAAATATTTAACATTATCAAAAGCTTTTTCTACATTGATTAAAATAATTATATCACTTTTCTCATTTGGTCTATTAATTTCACTAAATACATTAATCAATTTTATGATATTTTAAAAATCTTAAATTTTGTGATAAAACTTGTATTTTAAAAATCTGTTCAATGTATTATTAAATTTATTTAGCTAATTATTTATTATTTTGCATCAAATTTCATTGATATATAAAAGAAAATAGCTGTTTTTAAAAAATTTGGTAACACTCGCACGTAAAACCTTCTTAGGCTGTGTAGCCATTTGACAGAGGAAAATTTCAACGACAATTTCAGTTTCTTTATTGCTTATTGATCTGTTCAAGTTCTTTTTTCTCATAATCATAGAGAAAAGTAACATCCAATTTTCTTTGGGCATTTACTGACAGAGACGAAAACTTAGCTCAAGACTCATTGGTTTCATTGCTAATATCAACCACTGTGATAACTATCATACAAACATATCTTTTTTCTTATTTCTAACTTTTAAGTTCAGGGGTACATGTATAGGATGTGCAGGTTTGTTACACAGATAAATGCATGCCATGGTGGTTTGCTGCACAGATCATCCCATCACCTAGGTATTAAGCCCAGCATCCATTAGTTATTCTTTCTGATCCTCTCCCTCCTTCCACGCCCCACCCTCTGACAGGCCCCAGGGTGTGTTGTTTCCCCACCATGTTTCCATGTGTTCTCATCATTCAGCTCCCACTTATAAGTGAGAACATGAGGTATTTTGATTTTCTGTTCCTGCATTAGTTTGCTGAGGATAATAACTTCCATCTCCATCCATGTCCCTGCAAAGGACATGATCTCCTTCCTTTTTATGGATGCACAGTATTCCATGGTGTATATATACCACATTTTCTTTATCCAGTCTATCATTGATGGGCATTTGGGTGAATTCCATGTCTCTGTTTTTGTGACTAGTGCTGCAATGAACATACGCGTGCATGTATCTTCATAATAGAATGATCTATATTCCTTCGGGTATATACCCAGTAGTGGGATTGCTGGGTCAAATGGTATTTCTACCTCTAGGTCTTTGAGGGATTGCTACACTGCCTTCCACAATGATACAACCATATCTTGTTTTTGAAGATATCCCCACTAAATTTGGGGTATGGAGGAGGAACTAAACAGATAACATAGGGAAAATTACGTATTTAGAAGATGACTCTTTTGCTCTCCTGAAACACAGATTGAAGGCAGACATAATGAAGGCAGAAAAATAAATGAGAAAACTTACTACAATAACTCAAGCATAAATTGAAGAGAATAAAGTGTATTGTTGTTGATTGTAAATAAAAGAAAAATGGTACATGTCCAAAACAATAGAATGTGAAGTGAAATGTGAAAACAAATAGAAACTTTTAAAATTGTGAACTTGAGTTACATCATTTTGACAGAAAAAACAAAACATCTTACAAGGTAAAAGAAAAAGGCTGAAAGGAAGAACTGGTAGTGAATCAATTCAGTTATGTATCTTGTTGATGTAAGTATCTTTTCTTTCTTCCTCTTATGTTTCTGCCCTTGTGGAGGAAGGGTCGTTAATAGAGCACTCCTGGCTTCTCTCTCCGCTCTTACTTGCACCTCCCAAAAAAATGGAGGGATGACTTAAAAAGTTTCTTGGCATGAATTTCTTCTCTCTTTTATTTCTCCCCCTTCACCCATCTTTTCTTTGGGGTGAGCTGTCTCTAGAGAGTACTTTGCTCTATCCTATCTCTAAACCACTAGTTCTAGAAGATCAAACTCTAACCCCTCAATGAGGCCTCTGCCCAGGCCCAAAGCTCTCAGAAATGAGGTGACTAAAATGGTCCGATTCTGCATCTCAGTATTAGGATAGGGTATTAGTATTAGGAGAAGCCACATTTTCCAAAATCACTTTACCATTAATAACGGTTATATTTAACTTCTCAATCTGCCTATTCTTTTGTTTTACTTGTCAATGAGTTCAGAACTCAGGGAAAGAAAATGAGTGATATTTTTTGGCTTCCTCAAACACCGGCCATGCATTGTGACTCATATAAGATAAAACGCATGAATGTTTATAGATTTAAAATAAGGTCGATTGATTTGCTTAAGACTGAAAGAAGAATTTGTGAAACATTCACATAGAAGTGAAAGTTAAAATCCTGGAAATTTGAGTTTGAGCTGCAGCTTTGAGAATGCCTTATATAGGAAGAAATAAAGAAATGTCGTGTATACTCCAGGACACAGAGATTTACTTGGAATAATAAGGGATAAATCAGAAACCAAGGAAAAAGTAACTTTTAAGAAATAAAAATTTCTTGACAATATCAGACATCCCAGAGGGTTTGGAAAGAAGGACACAGGATGCAAATGATAAATTTCAGAAGCTACACCTATATGTGGTGGGAGCTGGGTGTCGTGGTGGTTATCCTAGGATTTTACGAGAGAGAAATTGAGACAGAACAAATCACAAATCATGAGACTCACAGGTCAAGAGTTTTTAGCACCTAAAACGTCCAATATTTCTGCATTTCCTGGGATCTTTACAGCTCTAGCATAGTCCACAAATACGCTTATCATGGCTTGTTCTTCCTAAAGTAACTTGCAACATAAGAATAATAGAACTTTGATGGAGGGATTTATGGCATGTGTAGGTAAGTGTGTAAGTGTTGAAGATTGTGAGCGAATTAAATTTGTCAGAAACTGTGATAAAATTTGGCCTTTGTGGTTGACTGAAAGTTTCAACTTTCAGTTCTTCACCCCTGTGAGGTAAAAACAACAAAACACCCCCCAAACCCAAACAAACAAATAAAATCTCCTACCATCTTCTATTCTCTTCCTTCAACTTTACTTTCCATTTCTTGGTTTTTCCATACCAATTTTTTTCTTTTTTCTTTCTTTTTTTTTTTTTTTTTTGTATGCTGTTAAATTCTTAAATAGTATTTAACTTCAGAGAAAAGCCTTGCTAAGTTTGGATTGGATTTGAGAGAGAAAGATTTGGTTTTATTTGTTGTTTATGTCTTGGTTTGTCTTCATCTCAAAGGTCTAAGTTATAATAAATTAATTCTAATTCTAGAGAGAACCATGAATCCAGTCTCAATGGGGAAAAAGTATTGATTTATATTTTCACCCTTGCCGCTATTCAAAGTTAGAAATTCCCAGTACTATCAACCCATATTCAGTTCTGCAGATATTGATCCTAAAATGATACATAAATGCACTGTCATTGTTTTTCATTTTTTTCCTCTGGGGAAATAGAGACTAGCTGCTCTAAATTTTTCACATTGTTTATAAATATTCACTATAGAGCAAGAAAATAGACTAGACAGGCACCAAATATCTTCATCACAACTCTAGTCTCCTTGCTAGTGCATAGAAATCAATAGAATCCTCCATCAAAATTTTCTTGTTACATTTTTCGGTCTTCTAAAAAGTTTTATCACACTTGCTGGCAATTCAGGAAATTAAGTAGAAAGTTATGTTTCATGATGACTCTCTGGCAGGAAGCAAGATCAGAAGTGTAACAGAAAGACTTCCACAGTTTTTTGACAACCTTACCCTCAAAATAGCAAACTTCTAAATTTATTATTTACTATAAACTAAAAGTAAAAACAAAGATATTTGGGTGAATGCTTTAACACTTAAAAATCTAGCTAAACTGCTATTTCTAATTTTTTAATGTAGAGTTCTAGACAAAACATTGTCTCCTTCCTATCCTAATTATATGGTCTTTGGTTTCAACCTACCCAAAGATTGTACCCATGACCAAAGAAAGCCACTTACATGGATGAAATTCATGCTGACTTGATGAATATAAATGGCTGGAAGTGCATGACAGTTATTTGCAGTACTGTCAGTTTAGAAGAGATGTGTTTTTTCTTGTCTTTAAGAGTCACAGCATGAAATCAAACATACTCATTAAAATTTTATTATTTCATTTTATTCCTGGATTGTGTCCTGATCTATAAAATAACTATCCTGAGAAATATTTTTAAAATAAGTGCACAAATGCATACATGCTCTTTCTTTCTTTGGGATATTCCTGAACCTAAAGACATTTGAGGATTTTGCTTATATGCTCACCTTTGATCAGACCTCCTCAGCTCACACAATCATCATCTATCATGCAAAGCCCTTCTTTGTTTAATTCTACATTTAGTCTCTACTCCATCTCATTCCACTACTCAACCCCGCTCTCTCACTTACCATGATCACCCACCAGAATCTTTTGACAAGTATATTTTGATATTGTATATTTTTTTAAAATACAGTGTTGGTCCATGTACATAAGTGCTGTAAATTTACATAAATGATATTTTTCTATATATCTCATCCTGTTTCTTACTTTTTTACTCAAAATCTTTCAATAATCTATCAACGTTGTACATACCTTTATTTATTTATTTATTTATTTTTTGAGATGAAGTCTCGCTCTGTCACACAGGCTGGAGCACAGTGGCGTAATCTCGGCTCACTGCAACCTCCACCTCCCGGATCCAAGCAATGCTTCCTGCCTCAGCCTCCCAAGTAGTTGGGATTACAGGCACCTGCCACCACGCCTGGCTAATTTTTGTGGGTTTGTTGTTGTTGTTGTTGTTGTTGTTTTTAATAGAGACGGGGTTTCTCCATGTTGGCCAGGCTGGTCTCGAACTCCTGACCTCAGGTGATCCACACATGTAGGCCTCCCAAAGTGCTGGGATTACAGGCATGAGCCACCATGTGTGGCCATACCTATATTTAATTGCTTCTGGTTGCTATATAATATATCATGTCAGTATTGATTACATTTTTGGAGAGCTTTATTGTCTTTTAATTTTTTAATTAAAAACATTTTTAATTAAAAAAATTTTTATTTTTTAAATTGACAGTTAAAATTATATGAATTTATTTGGTACAACGTGACATTTTGAAGTATATATACATTGTGGAATGGTTAAATCTAGCTAATTAACAAATGCATTACCTCATATCATTTTTGTGGTGAGAACAATTAAGATCCACTCTATTTTTCAAGAATACAATATATCTTTATTAACTATAGTCACCACGCTATAAAATAGACCTCTTGTACTTATTTTTCCTAAGGAGTGATTACAGTTTATTTATTTATTCCACTATTTCTAGATTGCCTCTAAAATCCTACTTCTACAAATAATGCTACACTGAAGATATTTAACCATGGTTCTAAAAGTTTTCTTATGCACTTATCCTACAGAGGAATGACTGTCTCGCATAGTATATATTTTCTTGATCAAAAGGTCTTGCCTAATCTAGGCGTTTATTAGTGTGCAAGTCTATCTACACCTCTGTCTTGCAGTGAATAAGGATTATTATTTGCCTACACCCCAACCGTTATTTACTTTTATCCAACCTTCTAATTGTCAGTCCAGCTGGTGTAAAATTATATTGTTGTGATTTTCATTTTCTGATTATTAATGAATCTGAGTAAGTAACTAATTGGCATGTTTATGAGCTATTCCAGGTTTCTTTTTGGGAAATTACCTATTTCTCTCTTGTTCTGGTAATGGATGATTCAACTATTTTTTTCCCCCTGTTGTTGATTTTAAGACCTCCTTGATCTCTGCTTTTTCCTCCCTTGATCTCATATTATTTTAAACACAAAGTAGCATTCCTCCATAAATGCTAGGTGAGTTATGCCCTCTTTGCTCTTTTTATGTAACTGTTGACCCTCTCTTTCTGTCAAACAATATTGGAAAAATGTTTCTTACCTGCCATATTCAATACCTACAAATGTTATGCTATTTTATGAGTAACTCCAGAACCATGAATTTGAAAGAATGTAGAGAGGCAAGAAAGTAGACACTCAGTATTCCGGGAAGCATAATTCATTATGCATTAATTCCTTATGTTACTTACATTATGAGCAAGGATTTTACAAGATAGCTAGTCTTTTCTCTTTCCTAGGCAGTTTCAAAACTCAAATCTTTCTCATGTTTTGAAAAACTGTCCATTTCTTATGTCACAAGGCTACTTCCTCAAATCTTTATGACACTGAGTTGCAGCAACCTTCTGTTTCCAGAATGTAGGGCAAGATGTAGAGAAGCATTTTCCTGGGTCATTTTAGTAAGAATGGATGTGTAGGGTGACGAGCTCCACTGTGACCAGGCTGAGCACTGAATCTGAAGTGTCAGAAACGCCTATGTGTTACTTAATAAATTGTGTGTGTGTGTGTGTGTGTGCATGTGTATGAGAGAGAGAGAGAGAAAATTTGTGCTATATGGGAATCTTTATAGTGTGAGATTGAAGGCAGGACTCCCTCAGAGCATTTTCTAAGAACAGCATAGTTCATATACATTATATTTAGGGGCTCCGGATTGAATTCACAGTTTTTCATTATGAACTAGTCTGGATTTGGTTAACCCTATGCACTCTGTGCTAAATTCATGAGGGACAGATAACTAATGGCCATGACAGAGGTGGGTAAAGATAATGGTGGGATTTGCATTAAGTCAAGAAAGAACTGTTTGCAAGATGCAATACTAAGTGTAAGAACAGAGAATTTCTTAAGGATAACAGCCTACATTTACTAAGTATTTTAACTTCACAATAAAACGAGTTAATGCATATATAGAATTACATATACATTTTTAGAAAATTCTGCAAAACTGAAGGTAAATAACTTGTTTAGTATCCCACCATAAGTGACAGCTGGGATTTGTACCCAGGCAGTCAGGGTCCAGAGTCAGTGATAGTGACACGAATATATATCCTTGACAGCACGTTTCAGTGAAATAGTTGTTCAAGTCATGAATCTCGTTTTCAAGGCTACAACTCATTGAAAGAAGCTAACATAAAGTATGTATTATGATGAGACAGCGTGGCCTAACTTCAGAAAAATTTAAGGATATGAATAAACATGTATTCATAATGCATGGGTCCAGAAACCTGGCTATCATTGCTTCCCCAGACCCATTCTTACACTATATTTAGACTCCAGTGACTACCGTTGACCGACTTCTGATTTTCCCAAATCCCTATTCCCTCTGTAGGGAAATATTGCCCAATTTTGCTTTTGTTTAATCAGGGCATAAATCTTAGATATCTAATCAGTTATAGATTTTCTTATATCAGAGTCAATCAACTCTGATTAGTGATGAAGGTGAAAGGAAGCGGTCATTACATGTCAATGATTTGACACAAATAGGAGAGATGACACAAATAGGAGAGATGAAGATTAGGCAGGAATTATGAATAAAACATTCAGTACCATGATCACTGATATTTTTCTAATATCATCCACATTCATATTATCACCCTGTGTGTGATTTAAAACACTCACTCTCCCCTCAGAGAGATATTTGGCCAATGCATTCTGTGCTAACAGTACAGTTCCATAGAATAAGCTGTTCCCAGTGTGAAAATTCAGTTCTGGTGTTGATGTCCTTCTGTATCCTTTGAAATTTTTAGACACCGTCAATCTATCCTATATAGAAAAATAGGGGAAAGCAAGCAGAATATTCAATAATCACAGTTAATCATAATTTCTGCTTAATGTTAACAAAACAAGAAATTACTGTAAACTTCATTATTGAGTCGTAATCATTGCAGCTATTCAGAAGCCATTCCTTTACTCACTTACACCTTCTTCAGGCATTAAGCCAGTATATCTATCAATATTTTTTTCAAATATAATGAGATCTTTATTACAGATGAATCAAAGTCCATTTTGATCTTGTCCTATAAGCTTCAGTTAATCTTTACAAATGGAAAAGCAGTGTAACACCTAAGGGCTCCTCTGGATTCTACTCTTAACTATATGGTTCCTATTACATACTACAAATATTATTTACTATATTGAAAATTAGTCATGTATTCATCCAAAATGTAACACGTCTACCTTGTAAGAAAACAAACAAAATTTTGTTCTCATGTATAATAAGAAGCCAAGATTTCCAAGATTTTCTTTCTAATTTACTGAAACCATTATCGTCTTTCCTGGTAGAAATGTCATTCTAGTCAGTGGTGAACCTCTAGATCACAGAAACCAGTATAGAGTTAAAGAAAGATTTGAGATAGTTTAGTATGAGCAATGTTTTGGAAAATTCTTAGCCACTTTCCTCCTTAAATATCACTTCTACCCCATCTTTTCTGTCTCCTTTATGGAAACTGATTGTATGAATATTAGATGCACTCTATCTTCTGTGCATTTTGTTTTCTGTGTTTTTTAGCCATTTGTCTCTTGGTACTACATCCTGGATAATTTCTGCTCATCTGTTTTGAAGTTCACTTATTATCTCTTCTGGTGTGTCTACCCCACTTAATTTCCATTGTTTATTTTATTATTTTGATTTTAGTTATGGTGTTTTTTAGTTGTACATTCACATTTGTTTTTTGGGGTTTTTTTGGTTGTTGTTTGTTTTTTGAGATGGAGTCTTGCTCTGTCGCCCAGGCTGGAGTGCAGTGACATGATCTTGGCTCACTGCAACCTCCGCCTCCCAGGTTCAAGCAATTCTCCTGCCTCAGCCTCCCGAGTAGCTGGGACTACAGGCGCATGTCACCATGCCCAGCTAATTTTCATATTTTTATTAGAGACAGAGTTTCACCATATTGGCCAGGCTGGTCTCGAACTCCTGACCTCATGATCTGCCCACCTTGGCCTCCCAAAGTGCTAGGATTACAGGCATGAGCCACCATGCCTGGTCCACATTTGGTTATTTTTATAGTTTCAAATTTCTGCCAAATTTTTCATGATTACTTAATTCTGCCGATTAAGAAAATAATAGCTTTTGGTTGGTGGCAAATCTTATAGATGAGGTCATCAGTGAGCAACTGTTTATTTATTATTGTAAAGTTAATTATCTGAATTAGAGCTCCTATAGGTTTAGTTCAATTTTCAGTTGTTTATTTTGGCTTTTGTTTAGATTAACATGTATGAAGGACTGTCTCTTGATCAGAGGTACAACTTTCCTTTCACAATAAAAGTCTTTGGGGTTTATCACTGCTTAGAAAATTTTGATTTAGACAGGACCCATCAGGATATTGGGTAAAATATTACTCTTGAAACTCTTAACTTTCTATCAGAGAAATTGTTTATCTCTACTAGGTCCTAGTAACAGATTCACACTTACTGCAGATCAGTGGAAGAAAGATCAGTACTCCAAAACTTAAAGTACATTTATTATTGCCCAAGATTCCAATTAGTTGTGAAATTTTTGTGTACAAACACCAAAAATTTGTGGCCACAAACATCTGTAATTTTATAGATTCTGAAGAAAATATGTGGTTCAGGAAAAGACTGTTTCATTGCCCTCAAGACTGATGCTAAAATTTCTTGTCATAAGGCCATCACTCAAATTTGTTTAGTGAATTGCTATAGATGATCTAGTAAAATGTCCAGCTCTGGAGTGTACTGTTTTCAAAATGTAGAAGCCCAATCAAGGATCAGGCCTCTTTCTTTGTAGTTAGTGGCTACAGAGATAGCATTCTTGTTTGCTTGTTTGTTTGTTTATTACGAGACTATGGAATGTCCCTCTGGGCTCAAGGCCAGATAAGTCAAAGGCAATCACTGGAATGCGGAGCCTTAGATATTAACCCTAGGTTAGGTAAGACTCAGGTTCTGAGTCTTACCAGCTCAAGAAAAAAGGAAGAAACTGGCACCTGAAATGCTCAACATATTTATAAGGGTTAGGTACAGGAATGTGTCTATGTAACAATAAAAGACCCCTGGTGGACAAAGTGGTCTCAATAGCTACTAATCCCCTTTTCTTCTAATGGGTCAAGTCTCTGTTAAATTGCCAGAGATGGGAGAAAATGAGCCATATTTGTGTCTTTGCCTAAAGCTATCTTGGTCTGGATTTTGAAATGGAATTCTCTTAATTGAAGTTTCAGTTATGTCACGGAGACCATTGAGACTATAGTTTAAAGTAAGGTTTGACACCGACATGCAGAAGTTGCAAAAAGAGCTGTAAGAGAAAATTAGTCATGTATCTCATTTAACTGTGGTTAAATTCTGTTCTGTAAAAGTGGTTATCAATTTAGGTAGAAATGCAAAGAAAATTTATTTGAAGAGAGTTTCTTCTTGGTGAGTCTCACCATTCCCAAAGAAAAATCTGTTTTCCTACCTCCTAAACTTAAGCCTTGTGAAAGGGCTTCAAAGAGATTCAGTAGAATCCTTGGCATATATGCCCCCTGCTGTTTGTGAGATGATCACTAAACTAATGTGTGAGTCATTCCTTAGAAATCTAAATGGCTAGATGTGTTGGCTGAGGACCTGTGTCAGAGAAGAACATGAGCCACGGTTTTAGGAAAATTTCATTTCCACAATTTGTCGCAAAAGAGAATGAATGTTTCCTTGAACCAGATATGGATCCTAATTGGAAGAAAGAGTGGCGTAGGATTATCTTGGATGCTGCCGAGGTGACCACCTGGAGTAAAGAAAAAACTCGGCAAAAAGAAGCTGAAGTTGACACCATACGCACAGGCGTCGAGAAAGAAAGAACCAGGAGAAAGAGAGAAATGCATTTGCCTTTTCCATAAAACAATAGTTGACCAGTCTACTGAGATTGGGGAGTAGGGGAAGGAAACATTTTCAAAAGGAAAATGAGAGCACCTGATGAGAAAGCCTATTAGGTTTAGAAAAGAGTTATGCCAGAACAGTGCCAGATAGGTGCTCCTGTCCCCGCCCTTTCTTCTACTCCTTTCTTCTACCTCAAGGATCAGAAGTCATGACTAAATGAATAGAGAGGTTGGGACTGGCAAAGCAAAGTGAGAAGAGCCTGACTTTGCTGCTCCATCTCGCTGCAGCTTCACTTATCTCAAAGAGTGGAGACCCAAATGGAATTTAAATTTGTATTACTATTGCACTGAACCGGGCTTATAAAGTCACCAAAAAAGTCTGTGTTCTATGAGTCTTAGTGACCATAGAACTTTTAGCACCTAATATTCGCAAGAAAAGACAATGTACACTGTACTTTTTTTTTATCCAGTTAGAGGAAGAACTGGCACTGCAACATTTAAAGTGATCATGGAAAAATAATAATAAAGTGCTTTATATTCACATCTCATGAATCATGTTTATTCAATTCGCTGATTGTACTAGCAAAACTTTTGCAGATCTCCCCTTTAACATTTCATTTCATTCTATTTTTAATCCTAGATGAGAGAAATGTGGATCTGAAGGGAGACATTGAATTTCTAAAAAAAAAATTTACATTTCTGAAAAAAGTTGCTGTGTAATATAACTGTCAAGATTTAAATCATCCACATGAAACTGACTGTATTCAGATTCCAGAAATGTTTCAATTGATAAATACAGAAAATGAAAAAGGAAAAAAGAAAGTAATAATCCATGGTTACACAAGACAGCTGTACTCTTTTCTCTGGGCTTTTCTATTGTCAGTTTGATTAATGGGATGTCTTTAAATGTATCTCCTTTTGGATATCTTATATCTCAACAAGTCTATTTCATGTTTTTGCCACCAACATTTCCAGTAGATTTCTTCTAACATGTCAGAATGACAGATAAGTTTCCATAGTCAGCCTTATAGAGAGCTCATTATTGTTTCAAACCAGTGCAATTGCCCTTAAGTTTCCCTAACCAGAGGGCCTTTGGAGGGCCATGTCATTTCCAAACTCACGATGAGTAAAGGTGGCATTTCTGGGCTTAAAATAAGGGTATAAGTCACCAATTAAAGTCAAGTACTAATTTTTGCAAGATAATCTCCTGAGTTGATAGAAAATAAAAATATTAAATATTTTAAATGCATTGTATGGGCTGCCAAATTTTTTCATGTAAGCTATCCGTAATTTCTTTTTGTATTACTTAGCTAGTAAGAGTAGAATAATCGAACTTTTTAAATTTATTTAGTTCACTTTCTTAGGAGGAAACTTTGAATAAAGCAGCATTTCTACAATATATAATGGCAATAAATGATCATCAGTTTTTATTCTAGAAAATATTTATAAACTATATACATACCTATGTCATTTACTCCCTAAAACACATGTCTAGATCACAGGGTTTAACTATGTTCCCTAAAATTATTTCTTTCTGTCAAATATTTGTTTAAAAAAAATGAATGTGGGCCGAGTGTGGTGGCCCACGCCTATAATCCCAGCACTTTGGGAGGCCTGGCAGGCAGGTCACCTGAGGTAGGGAGTTCGAGACCAGCCTGGCCAACATGGTGAAACCCTGTCTCTACTAAAAATACAAAAATTAGCCAGGTGTGGTGGTGCACGCTTGTAATCCCAGCTACTTGGGAAGCTGAGACAGGAGAATTGCTTGAACCTAGGAGGCAGAGGTTGCAGTGAGCAGAGATCATGCCACTGCACTCTAGCACTCTAGCCTGGGCAACATAGTGAGACTCTGTCTCAAAAAAAAAAAAAAAAAAAAAAAAGAATCTTTGTGTTTATAAAGCACAGTTCAATCTGTCAGTAGAAAGACCAAACAAATTGTAACGTGTCACGCAAAACCATGTAAAAATATTCACAACTCAATTGCAAAATCTTTTAAATGTCCTGAGAAGTTAAGTGATTCTAAAAATGTGGAAGAGCTTAAGATTATATTTAGTTTTAGACTTTTTAGACTCAGAGAAGATATTTACATCTTTTAAGAAGAGACACAATGTGTAATTCAATAAAGTGAGTAACATGGGTGAGAACTGCAGACTAAAGACAAAGAGAATTAGGTAATGTGAGCAATTTAAGATTTTGGACTGCTTTGTGTCCATTTTAATGTGTAGGCACCTTTCAACTCTAGAAAGAAAACTAACTACAGCAAGGTTTAAAAGAGTCAAAGCACTATTATTAGTACTTTTGTGTTAAGAAGGAACCACTTCTCTTTTTTCGATGGTTTATATAGTTGAATATATTTGAGATAACTTAGCCTAATGGAATCTTAAAGTATAATTTTCAAAACAGTAAAATCATGAATTTCATAAAAATAGAAAATGAACACTACCAAAGATTTTGTTTATTTACTGATTGTTGAAGAAACAAGTAAAGTTTTAAAACTGGTTCAAATGAGAATATGGCTTTCAGAGACTTATATTCTCTTTCAGACCAAATTTATTTGTGTTGTCATCTTTAGGGATCATTTTTAAGATTAATCATTTTATGATAAATCATTTTTATAATTAACCATTTTATTTTTATGATCAGAAAACCTGCATCATTTTCAATTTTTACAATTTCTATATCTACAAAATTGTAAACTGGTCAATTAACAGTGCATCTTGACTGCAGAATTAGAAAATACCCAAAAGACTAGTAAACATTACCTAGAACCCCACCATACCCAATAATTTCTTACATCCCTTCCAAAAATTTGACATTTTTTTTCCTGAGAAGAGTTAGAGTTCTGTAATTTTAAATTACAATGTGTAATAAAGTAATTAATTTAGATTTGTGATTATAAACAAAAATATAATGTTGAAACATTAAAGACTTTTACTTCTATTTAATTTTAGTATGTTAGATTTCTTATTTAATTAAGTATGCAGAAAGATGTTATTAATTTAAAAAACAGATCTGTTTAAAATGAATACTAAATTTATAAATGCAGTTAAAAATATTGGAAAATGTTTAAATAAATTTTCTAAAGAGACCAGACACATTCGATGTCCAAAAATAATTATTAAAATCTGTCGGAGTTGTGAGGTAGAATAACATTGCCATGCTGAGCTCAAAATTATAATAATAACTAAGTTTTGAACTGCAGCTTTAATATAATATCTGTATAAAGAAGATAAACCTATAAGAGGTCTTTTCTGCATATAAACTCAAACAAAAATTTAACACATATGTAAAACTAGTATATTATTCCTCCCTTTAGCACATTTTTTGCTATTGCTTCTTTTTCATGTCAATGTATAAATAAATGCCATACATCGAATAAGTCAAATTTCAACAATATACCAAAATTTTAACATCTACTACTAAATTATTCTCCTGATCATTATATGGCAAAATCTTTCTTCTAAGTAATTAATTTTTCACACCTATCATATTTCCCTTTGTCTATATATCTCAATTCAGTATAAAGATTTTTAAATTTTCCTGCTGGATTTTTAACTTCTTTTTAACATTCCAAATGGCTTAATAAATACAGTACTGAAAACAAATATGTTATAAACAAATGCCCTCTGGTTGTGTCCACTTGGTAAGTTCATGAGACATTTCTGCCTCAACTATTGAGCCAATGCATGCGATCTGTTTCTGCATTAGCAAGGGACATTCAACATAAAGATCTCAACAGTAATTTATGATTAACTTTAAATTCTGTGTTACTAAAATAATAGATCTTTCTCTCATCAACTTGGGCCTTTTGGGTTTTCTATAGTATCAAAACATCACTAACAGATTTATTTTTGGTAATAGTATTTTATAAGATAAGTTTTTTATTACCAATCTTAACTTACATACAAAAGAAATTACTGTAATTTAAAAGATATTTGGTCTGTCTCACAGTCAACTGAGAATCAAGAGTAGGTGGATGAGTAGTCTCCTAAACAAGTTTTACTTCCATTACAATTTATCATATACTTAAGTATTTTATCAGAAAAGTTAATTTTTTCTCAGGAGAAAATTGTGAACCACATTGTACAAGAGGTTCTATCCCAAAGTTTAAAAATTGTCTTTATTGACGAGACCTAACATTTATAGAACGTTTCACCTAACAGCTGCAGAATGTTCTTTTAATCAGCATATGAAACATTCTCCAGGATTGACCATACGTTAGGGAACAAAACAAGTCTCAAACAACTTTTAAAAATCAAAATTATATCAAGTGTCTTTTTGGACCACAATGGAATAAAACAAGACATCAGTAACAAGAGGAACATTTGAAGCTATACAAATACATGGAAATTAAACAACATGCTCCTGAATGACCAATGAGTGAAGTAAAAAAATAAGAATGAAATTTAAAAATTTCTTAAAACAAATGAAGATAGAAACACAACATACAGAAACCTAGGGGAGACAGCAAAAGCAGTATTAAAGACAAGTTTGTAGCAATAAATAAATGCCTACATCAAAAAATTAGATTTCAAATAAAGAACCTAACATTGCACCTCAAGGTGCAAGGAACTAGAAAAGCAAGAGAAAAAAAACCCGAAATTAGTAAAAGGAAAGAAATAATAAAAATCAGTGTAGAATTAAATAAAACTGAGGCTGAAAAATGCACAAGATCAACAAAACAAAAGTTCCTTAGACCCAAATAAATAAAATCAGAACTGAAAAAGGAAATGTCACAATGAATACCACAGACATAAAAAGGATCTTAGGAGACTACTATGAACCACTGTACACCAATAGATTCAAAAACCTAGAGGAAATGGATGAATTCCTGGACAATCTATCAAGATTGAACTAAGAAAAAAATAGAAAACCTTAACAGACTAATAACAAATAATGAGACTGAACCACTATTTACTATTAAGACTTTTTATTTAAGCAACAAAATACTTAAATTAAAAGTCCTCCAAAAAATAAAATTCAACACTGGATGGCTTCACTACTAAATTTTTCAAACCTTTAAAAAAGAATTAATACCAATTCTCCTCCAGCTATTCCAAAAACTTGAAGCAGAGGGAATTATTTCTAATTCATTCTATGAGACCAGCATAACCCTGATACCAAAACCAGAGAAGGACCCAATTTTTTTAAAAAAGAAAGCTAAAGGCCAATATCCTTAATGAAACTAGATACAAAAATTCTCAAAAAAAAAAAAAAAAAAACCAAAAACTAGCAAACTGAATCCAACAACACATCAAAAAGATAATATACTATGATCAAGTGGGATTTATCCCAGGATTGCAAGGATGTTTAAACATACACAAATCAATACATGTCATACATCACATCAACAGAATGAAGAACAAAAACCATAGAATCATCTCACTAAGTGCAGCAAAAGCATTTCATAAAATTCAACATCCCTCCATGACAAAAACTCTCAATAAATTAGGTATAGGGAGAAAGTACTTCAACATAATAAAGGCCATATATGACAAACTCACAGCTAACATTTTACTGAATGGGGAAAAAGCTGAAAGATTTTCCTTTAAGAATGAGAACAAGACAAGAATGCTTACTCTCACCACTGTTATACAACATAGTACTGGAGGTCCTAGGCAGAGCAATTAGACAAGAGAAAGAAATAAAGGGCATCCAAATTGAAAAGGAGAAAGTCAAATTCTCCCTGTTTGCAGACAACATGATCAATATATATAGAAAAACCTAGACAGCCGGGTGTGGTGGCTCACGCCTGTAATCCCAGCACTTTGGGATGCCAAGGTGGGCAGATCACGAGGTCGGGAGATCGAGACCATCCTGGCTAACACAGTGAAACCCCGTCTCTACTAAAAATACAAAAAAATTAGCCAGGAGTGGTGGTGGGCGCCTGTAGTCCCAGCTACTCTGGAGGCTGAGGCAGGAGAATGGCATGAACCCGGGAGGCGGAGCTTGCATTGAGCCGAGATCGCGCCACAGCACTCCAGCCTGGGCGACAGAGTGAGACTCCGTCTCAAAAAAAAGAAAAAAGAAAAGAAAAACCTAAAGACTCTGCCAGAACAAATCTGAGAGCTGATAAATGAATTCAGTAAAGTTTCAGGATACAAAATTAATATACAAAAATAAGTGGCATTTCTATACATGAACAGTGACCTAGCTCCGGAAAAAGACCTGACCTAGACCTGAAAAAGAAACCAGGAAAGCAATTTGATTTACAATAGCTACCAAAAACAGAATAAATAAATAAAATACCTAGGAATAAATTTAACCAAGGAGGTGAAAGACCTCTACAAAGAAAACCACAAAATACAGATAAAAGAAATGGAAGAGGACACAAACAAATGGAAAGGCATCCCATCCTCGTGCACATACACACGCACACACACACACACACACAGAGAGAGAGAGAGAGAGAGAGAGAGAGACAGAGAGATCAATGGAACAGAATAGAGAACTAAGAAATTAATGCACATATTTATGGCCAACTGATTTTTGACAAAGGTGCTGAGAATACTCACTGGAGAAAGGATGGTCTGTTTGATAAATGGTCTTAGGAAAACTGAATATCCATATGCAGAAGAATGAAACTAGACTCCCACCTCTCACCAATGTAAAAATCAACTCAAAATACATCAAAGGCCTAAATGTAAGATGTGAAATGATAAAAGTACCAGAAGAAAACATAAGGGAAATGCTCAAGACATTGGTCTGGAAAAGATTTTATGAAGAAGACCTCAAAAGCACAGGCAACGAAAGGGATTATATCAAATAAACAAATGGGACTATATCAAACTGAAAAGCATATGCACAGCAAAAGAAACAACAAAGTAAAAAGACAACATACAGAATGGGAGAAAATATTTGCAAAGTACTAATTTGACAAGAAATTTATGTCCAGAATGTACAAATAATGACAACATCTCAACAGTAAAAAACACACCAAGTGATCTGATTAAAAAATAGGCAATGATCTAAACAGACACTCAAATATATGAAAAAAAAGCTCAACATCACTAATCATCAGGGAAATGCAAATCAAAACCACAGTAAGGTATCATCTTACTGCAATTAGGATGACTATAATAAAAAAAAAAAGACAAAAAATAACAAATGCCGGTAAGGATGCAGAGACATGGGAATGCTTATACACTGTTGGTGGGGGTGTAAGTAAGTACAGCCACTATGGATAACAGCATGGAAGGTCCTCAAAAAATTACATATAAAACTACCATGGGACCCAGCAAATCCACTACTTGAAACTTACCCAAAGGAAAAGAAATCGTTATATCACAGAGACATAAGCACACCTTCATGTTTATTACAGCATCATTCACAATAGCCAAGATATGGAAGCAACTGAAGAGTACAACAGATGAATGGATTTTTTAAGAGGTGATATATATACACAACAAAATACTATTTAGCTATAAAAAAAGAATGAAATCCCATCATTCACAACCACATGGAGACATTATGTTAACACTGGTGGACATTATGTTAAGCAAAACAAGCTAGAAACAGAAAGTTAAATACTTTATTTTCTCATTCATATATGGAAGGCAAAAAAAAGTTGATCTCATCGAAGTAAAAAGTAGAACAGAAGATACTGAAAGCTAGGAAGAGTGGGGATAGTAAGAGATTTGGTAAATAATATCTAGATAGGAGAAATAAGTTCTAGTGTTCTATACCACTGTAGGAAGACTATTGATAACAGTAATAGACAGTTTCCAATAGCTCGAAAAGGGATATAGAATGTTCTCAAAACAATGATAAGTGTTTGAAATGATGGATATGCTAATTATGTATATTGAAATATCACTCTGTAACCCATGAATATGTACAATTATTATTTGTCAATTAAAAAATAAAATTTTTTAAAAAACTTTATTTTGCACTGGGTTATTGTGAAAAGACATGTCTTATCATAAATGACACAGATGTGTGTTACTTGAACTCAAGCCTCCAATATGTCTTTACTGTCTACTACAGCATATGAAATTTATCAGAAAAATTATTTTGAAGAATCTTTTTTAGAAAGTTTTATTGCTACTACTACAAAAAACAAAAGATTATTAATTAATTCCTTTTTTTTTTTTTTTTTTTGAGACGGAGTCTCATTCTGTCACCCAGGCTGGAGTGCAGTGGCACAATCTTGACTCACTGCAACCTCTGCCTCCTAGGTTCAAACGATCCTCCTGTCTCAGCCTCCCGAGTAGCTGGGATTACAGGCGCACACCACCATTCCCAGCTAGTTTTTGTATTTTTAGCAGAGACGAGGTTTCACCGTATTTGTCAGACTGGTCTCAAACTCCTGACCTCAGGTGATCCACCCACCTCAGCCTCCCCAACTGCTGGGATTACAGGCGTGAGCCACCGTGCCCAGCCTATTATTTAATTCTTAAACAAAATATTGCTTTCTATGAAAAATAACCAAAAGGATATATTGTCTCATCCTAATAATTAAGAATTTATTAAATATCAGTTTTGCTGCTTGGTTAAATATTTAAACTAATTGGTATTATGCATTTTTGTGATTCTTTTATTACTAAATTGTAAGTATGTGTGCTAGAAACAGCAACAAGAAGAGACATTTAGTAGATATGTTCAAATATGAAAATTCAGTCTCAGAATTTTGGGACACCTTGCTATTCTTTTCTATGGATAAACAGATACTTCATTATTGACAGCATTTTCCATTATAATATCTCATCCAGATTTCACAATGAAAAGTGGTCACTTTTATGAAATAAGAAGAATGGACTAAAACATATTTTGGTTTTAAACTTAAGCATATTACTCCAGTAAAAATATACACAAAAGTGATGTGATTACAACCACGTGTGTGTTTCTTACCACTACACAAAGAGGCATAATGTGTTGAAAGCAGTGCTGTGTTTGACATCGTATTAGTCTGAAAACATAGTAGGCTAGTTTACAATAAAAAATAAATCCTGTAGATAATATATTTGAAGGCGAGCAATCATTTTATATTTGCAAAATTCTCATATAAGAGCATTTACGTAGAATATTTTAAGTATAGAACACATACATATATCCATTTTAGCTGGTGCTTACTAAATGTTTATTTAATTCATGATAATTTGATCTCACATTCATTGAACTTTTGAGCAGTACTGACTGGTTTCCCAAAATATACTGTAGGGTAGGACAAATGTTCAGTATAATTCAAGATACACAATGTAACAAATCAGAAGCCACTGTTGTATCAGTTTGGTGAAATAATAATCATTATATAATCAATAATGAACTGTAGTGACTGTTTTGCTCCCAGAGGAATATCTGTCACCATATTTTGATAATCTTACATAACTAAATAACAATGCTTGTAATTAAAATATTATAATTTGATATCTTAGGCCTGGCACAATGGCTCATGCCTGTAATCCCAGCACTTTGGGAGGCCGAAGCAGGCAGATTGCTTGGGCCCAGGAGTTGAAGAACAGACTGGGCAACGTGGAGAAACCCTACCTCTACAAAAAAAAAAAAAAAAAAAAAAAAATTAGCCTATCATGGTGATGTGCACCTATAGTCCTAGCTACTTGAGAAGCTGAGACAAGAAAACCTCTTAAACCCAGGAGGCAGAGGTTGCAGTGAGCCAAGATCACGCCATTGCACTCCAGCCTGAGCAAGTGGAGTGAAACCCTGTCTCAAAAAAAAAAAAAAAAAAAATTTGACAGTTTAAATGTGTCAAAGTACAGAGAGACATTACGTTTATTGATCTGTAGTAGAACAAAATGTTATCAGATCAATTTCTTTATCCCCACTCAAATAGTAAGCCTGATATTAAGAGATCTCCAAATTGTATTATAAACAATTTTATATCATGGACAATATAACAAAAACAGATAATTTTAATACTTCATTCCTAATCTATAGAAAGTGCTTTGGGTACTTCTAATATGTCAGACAATGATGTGAAATTTAGAAATAGATACAAATGCAAAAACAATCACCTCCTCAAGGCTGACTTTGTCCAGGGTCAGGGCATACATCTGGACTGACAGTTAACCCACCTGTTTTGCAAATCCTTGTTTAGTTATTTCTTTCTCTGAAAAATCTATGACAAATATTGTTGGATGAAGGAACTATCTTGTTGTACATAAGGCAAACATATAACCTTGTCTTTCTACACTATGAACTTATAGGATTTCCAGTGTCAGCGATTATAAAGAGTAGAAACTGTTAAATGATACGTGTTCTGTCGTTTTCTACTGTGCATGCTTTTTAAAACTTAAGAAATAATTGCTTTTATTTGTAGCACTTCACAGTTCACCTAGGATTTTATATTCATTATTATAAGTAATCCTGCAAGGTTTCTATGACATAGATACATTAGATGTGATTATTGTACTTTTAAAAGGTCACACAACTGGTAAACACAAGAACCAGTGATATATGCCAAGAGTTTTTGAGCGTTAGACTACTGTAATTCCCTTTATAGCAACTTGCCATAAAAGAGCTGCTATCATTAAAACAATGTGATATATTAAAGGATATTATTAAATAGTGGTTTTGCATAGACAATATATTAAATGTGAGTTCAGAGGCAGTTCTGCATTCAAGAGACAAAGTATTCTTTTTTTAGTATTTAAATTCCCCCTTCCTAAAGAAAACAGTTGTAAAAGATGTCTAATGACTCCAATAAAAAGTAATTTACTTCCTAATTTTAAATGGAGAAATACTAATCTCTAAGAGGTATTTTCTTGAGGCAGCATTTTTGTAGTTACATATGCTTGAGAATTTCCTACAATTAAACAGTGAAAAAAATATTGACCTTAAATACAGCAGGCAAGTTCCAATTTATATTCCTATATGAAGCCTACTCTCTCTCCTAGAATGGAACATAAAAATGTCCTTTTCTCTCAGATGCAGGCAATTGATCTATCCTAAAGCAGTAACTAGAATATTTTTAAAAACTAAATAAAAATTTGGTTAACTGAATTTTTAAACAAAACCATTTGTTTATTTTAATCCAGTTTCAACCACATTTTAACCTTTAATTCTTATTCATAGACTAAAATGGCTTCATTGACATTTATTTTTATTTTTATGCTGAGTTTTTAAATAAAATTGAGAAGTAAATGTAGAATAATCAACTAGGAGAAAGAAAAGATAAAAGCACCTTTTTATTAATACATATAAATATGGCAATTGAAACCTTAATTTCTGTAACTTGTTCCAACCAAATATACTTAAATTTACACTTTATTTAACCTTCCTAAGCACTACCTCAATTCACTAATGAAATACATTCTTGATCTAGCCATCTGTGAGGGTTTCAAGAGCTGGTTGACTCAAAATATTTCTTAAGTACCAGTGTCACCTGCCTTCTCCCATGGTCACTGTGGAGGCTAAAGCAACACTATCTTTTATGCTAATCTGCCATGTTGACTACTGTTTGACCCCAGTTCCAGAAATATCTCTAAGATTTCTACTTTACTAATAACAGCACCTACTTACTGGTAAATTCTACCCTTAGGTCAAAACCACCTTAATCTTATGATAAACACATACTTGCCATAAATCCTGCTCTTGAGCAAATTGTAGTCTATGACACACATAGTCTGTGACACATATCCCTGAAGGGGATAAAATGACTTCAATTGTCTTACATATCTCTTCTGAAGCATGCATACCCTTTGCCTATTTTATATAAGCCCTTGGTCTGGCATAACCATGCGGGAAGTACCATCTTGTGGCTGCCCCAGGCATGGCTCCATTCCATAACTCCCTATTAAATGTTTCTTTCTGAGAAACTGGATTTGTCAGCCTCTTTCTTCAGCCTCTTAGCTCCTTTGGCCTTTGGGGTTATGTTGGCATAGACCTGCTCACCATGGAATAGCCATCAACCATGGCAACAACACCAGGCAGCAACTGAAGACCTATTAAAAGAAATGACCCAAAAAATAGGGTACAAAAAATTCAATAAGACAGTGTTAATATATGAACATGTGTGTATGTATCATTCATATGCATATTTATTCAGGAATCTGTTGACATTTGATTGTGTAAACATTTATAAACCACAAACATTATTTATCACCAGCCTTTGGCAACGAATACTATTTGGGGATGTTAGATAAATTAACAAGAGTAATATATGTAAGGAATATAGTGAGATTCAAAAGAAATACTGAAAATTAATTCTCCAAAAATGGGCATTTCCCCTTTATAATGCATTCCTGATTCCATGACATTGGCAATGTTGCTTATGTGACCTGGAATTCCCACCCTTCTCACCCCTGCCTTTTTAAGTTTTACTCATCCATCAAGTTTCAACATATGTATTTCTCTTCCATGGATCTTCTAGGAAAACAAAAACCCAAAGTCACCCTTTATTTTGCTTATAGATATTGCTATATGACTATCATTTAACTTCCTAAATTTTTGGGTACATTTTGGTTTTTACCTATACATCAGTTATGGTTTCTGACTTTAAGTGTAATTGCCTCGGTTCTTCTTTCCCACTGCACAGACAAAATCAATTCGCAGAGACCATGGCATTGAAGTAAAGAAAGAGTTTAACTTTATGGGAGGCCAGTAACACAGGAGATGGAGTTACCACTCAAATCAGTCTCCCCAAAGGCTTGGAGGTTAGGGTTTTTAAAGAACAGTTTGTTGGGCAGGGAACTAGGAAATGGGTGCTGCTGTGATTGGTTGGGGAAGCAATTATAAGGGTGTGGAAAACGGTTCTCATCCACTGAGTCCACTTCTGGGTGGGGGCCACAGTACCAGTTGAGTCATGAATCACAAATCCAGGTGGGATCAGTCTAAAAACTATCTCAAAGACAAATTTTAAGTTTTACAACAGTGATGTTATCTATAACAGCAATTGGAGAAGGGACAAATCTTGTGACCTCTGGCCACATGACTCCTGAGCAGTAAGGGATTATAGAAACTATGCCTACATTTTAGCAGAATTGAGGTCTTGCTCATAATCCTAATCCCGTGGCCTTTCATTAGTCTTACAAAGATGGAGAGGGAATCAGTTTTAGGGAGGGGCTATTATCATCCTTACTTCAAAGTTAAACTACAAATCAAATTCTACCCATGGTAGATCAGCCTGGCTGATGCCCAGAAATGAGCAAAGACAGCCAGCCTTTGAAGTTAGATGCAAGATGGGGTCAGCCATGTTAGATTTCTCTCCCTCTTAATCTTTGCAAAGGCAATTTCATTAGCAACTGTACCAACACTAGATAACTTCAGCTGAAAAGAATTCAGAGAATCAATGAAGCTTAAAAAGAAGCATGCTTGTGGTATGAGCAGAATCCAAGGGAGACTAGCAAAGTAGACCAGGCTGGTTCTAGAAGTCTGACTAGGATGCTCTGTCTCCACTGCCACAGTGCCTCAAGTTCTCAATGCCATAAATAATGTTTTAACCTCCCTGTGTATTTGCTTTCAATCCTCAAGATGTAAGTCTCAGCAAGTTGTGTCCCTTCTCCCCAGCAATTGGAAGAAGGAAAAACTATCTAACTTTCACAGCTTCAATTTGGTGGGCAGTGAAGCCTTGACTCTCAACTCCTTAGTCCATGAGGGGTCTTCCTAACCAGTGCAAATATTTAAATTTGAGGAACCTAAAATGCCTAAAAGTGTCTACCATATTTTTCAATTTATAACATAAAATAATTTGGATCCATTTGTATATTATCTTTGCATTAAAACTGCTTAAAACAAAGTTGGCTATATAATATGCATTTCAATATTTGTTAACAGGCTGGTGCTTAGAGGTAAAATAGAAAAGTTCTCTTTCTTTTTTTTTTTCTTTTTTATTTTTTGGAGACAGAGTCTCACTCTTTCCCCCAGGCTGGAGTACAGTGGTGCAATGTTGGCTCACTGTCACCTCTGCCTCCCGGGTTCAAGCTATTCTCATGCTTCAGACTCCCAAGTAGCTGGTACTACAGGCACACACCACCACGCCCAGCTAATTTTTGTATTTTTAGTAGAGATGAGGTTTTGCCAGGTTGGCCAGGCTGATCTCAAACTCCTGACCTCAGGTGATCCACCCGCCTCGGCCTCCCAAAGTGCTGGGATTACAGGCGTGAGCTACCAGGCCCGGCCCTGGAAAGGTCTTTTTCAAGACCAAACCTCTATGTTTTTAAAGCTTGTTTCAAATAACTATTCTTATGTTCATAGAACTTCTATAATCAGACAATTTAGCATAAGCTACACAATAGGATGAACATTGAACTCATCCACAAACATTTATAATGGGTACATAACTCTATAATATGAACTTTAGAAACTCTTAAAGAAGCATACAGTACAGTCCATGAACCAAAAACACTCATAATCCTGATATAGAGATGAAATTTTTCTTATAGGAATCAAAAAGTTGAAGACAGCAATAAACAAATGCATATGATGTATAAAGGCTCTTGCATAGGTGTTAGGAACAAAACAAGTAACCAAAAGATTAATGTGGGCTGTGTTTACTTCAAGATCACAAGTATAATTGATTTATACAGCCCAAACTCAGAGACAGATACCATTCTCAAAATAAAAATCTGACAGATAATAATATTGTGAAGCAATCTGGTTTATACATAAATAAAAAGTCCCTACGATGCATTGTTAAAATAGATTTTATGATACCAATCATCAGTGTTTCAATATAATGTATTATTTTTAGGAAACAATTTTAGGCAGTAGAACTAATTTCATTTCCTTAAAATATTCAGAGTTTAGCGTTTTGAAATTGAGAGATTTTTTTTCCATTAATTTACATGTCTGTGAGAATTTCCCATGGAAAGATTTTACTTCATAATTCATGTTCATTGCATTCTTTCTGATAAATCCACTTGCAGAAAAGAGACAGAGAGGCAAAAACAAAACTGCAGTGAATGAGTGGTTCTTTTGTTTCTTCATCATTCCTTTGGGGAAGAATGCTTTACAGACATTTAAACAAAAATTTAAAGGTGGTTTTATTATTTTCCTAGATGCTTTCTAAAAATTATCTTATCATGTTTGAGTCTTTTTCAGAAAGGTGATGCTTTAGTGCTGTAGTCAAGGGCATAAAAGTAAGAAATAGGCACTCTTATTTCAATTAGGATCCAAATGATGTCATTGCTACTGCCAAAGAAGGCTCAGTTTGCTTAGAATAATGGAGAAGAAATCATTGGTACCTCTTTGAGCATGTTGAAAATGATATTTCATTGAAAGATATTACAATTAATAGTTTATAAAATGTCTACCTTAAATATTAAGACCAATTAAAATTTTGTGAAATATTGATTTTAGCAATTAAGTTCTTTATGTTTTCCTAGTTAGCAATTTTGTTATTGTCTTCATCAGTACTTAGTTTCAATTAAAGTCAGTAATTATATTTTTCTTTCTTCTATACCTTCACAAATGAAACCTAGAATAAGCAAGGGTATTCAGAGAAGATTAATCAATATTCTCTAAAAATCTGAAGTGATAATAAACATTGTCTACATTGAATAAGGCAGATTATGCATTCTTATATTTTCAAGTTTTCATAAGTACCACTCAAAACCTTCTTCTCATGGGGGCCCAAACAAAACAGATTTAATATTCAAATCATTATTATTCTCAAAGGATTTAACAAAGTTTTTATAAACAAGTCTACAGGGTGTACTGTAGAAAAACCATTAGGGATAAGGTAGAACCCCAGGGCTGTCCCCATGCCTCCATGGCTAGGCCAGAGGAGGGGAGGATGCTACAGTTTCAAAGAAGAGCTGCCTTGAGAGGAGTTGTAATCTTCTCTCAAAGGACACAGCATCCATCCCTCACTCCCTGCTTCTTATAGTATGCTGCTTGCATTCTCCACTGGCAAAAGCCTATTAGAAACCAGTAATGCTGTTCACCTCACTTAACCTTCTAGGGTCAGAGAACAGGGCAAAAAAGAGTAGAGAGCTGACATGTAAGGGCAAATGGGATTAATCTAGCATGTTGAAACTCATATTGTGTTCCCTCCTAGATTCTTAGCCTGTTACCCGGCAGCCTGTTACCTGCTTCTAGCATTTACAAAATCCCACATTACAAAAATCCCACATTACAAAGATCCATAGCAACCTCTAATAGATTTTACTGAGTAGCAGGAAAGCAGTAAGCTTAGTAGACATTAAGAGATTAGTAATGAACCAAAGAATGATTTTTAAAGCACTAGTCAATTGCCTATTTTTAAATCAATGCATAAAAAGAAGAGTTTATTTACCTGTATACATTTTTGAAGTTTCACAAAGGCTTAAAAAATTTTCGAAAACCTCTTTCATAGAAAACCTTTTAAAAGGAAGGGAAACCATGGTTCTTATTCTAAATTAACAACATTTTATATGTGCTCATTTAATCACTCAAACTATGTATTGAGTATCACGAGCTCTTCAGCATTTGGAAGTTTAGTGTAGTCAGTAGGCTATTACTGATAGCAAACTTCTAAAACAAAGTCATTTAAAATATTGATTTGATGAAACATTGTATGTATAAATTTTTTCAAGTCATTTACCACTTACAGAAAAATATACCATTTCCTTTCTATTTTTATTGCAGCTTTCTTTTTCTTGTGCTAAATAAAAAAAAATCAGCATTACAAGGATCAGCTATGTTTATGACTTTCCTTTTTTAAAAAATATGTTGAGTTATTGGTCTGCATAACATCAGAAGGTTGGAATATCCATCAGATTGCAAATTTCCCAAGGTCAGAAATTATGTTCTCTATACCACTGGAAATTTTATGCATCTTTATTAAGGACTTACAAACAAAGCAGTTGCTGAGCTCATGTAGTTTCAAGGTCTCAAATTCAAGTTCAGTACTTAATTTAATTTCTGTGTTGGAGTAATCAAGTTGAGTTATAACTTATTTTTTCTACACACATTAAAATATCAAGCACACGTTGCCAAATGCTTCATTATGATTATACCTACCCACTTGAAATGGTATTCAGAGTTCTACTAGAATACCATTACTGTTTAATTTGTTGAGCACACATTTTTTACATATTTTGATGGCCACAAATTTTCCCAGTAGAACAGCTTTGAAACAACATGGCTAAATTGTCTGCAGACTTCAGACCTTATTTGATACTAAGTTTAGAACAGAGATCACAATGAGCGTTCTACTCTCACAACTTGGATCTAAGACAAAAGGCTGCAGTAAAATTCTGGGAATGTGTCTCAAAACAAGTGAGGTGTAAACCTAGATCATAGATTTTTAAGCTTACATGTCATCTGCTTTACCTCTTTCAGATTCCTAAAATGTTTTAAATGACATAGAAATGTGAAGCCTTAAAACCCTTAAAAACTCAGACAACTTATTACAGAATTTTGAGAGAATATTTACTTGTTACTAAAAAACTAGCACTGGTTGTAGCAAATCCTAACTTTGCTTCAGTAATATACAATCTAATGACACACAGATTCACAAATTGGCAAGTTACCTCCTGCTTTAGATCTAGAATGTATACCAACCAGAAAAACAAGGCAATTGTCTTCTTAATGAATTATTTTTGAGTCAGAGCATCTTTCTCCATCCCCTTTCTGCATTAGTTCTTAAATAGCTAGTCTTCAAAGCCAACAAACCTAGAACAAACTGGGCAGGATGAGAAAATGGGTGCTGGAGAGGATGGGTGATGGAGAAGTGCTGATAATATTACCCTGCTTTTTGGGATAAATAGTCCCAAAAAGTCAAGTGTGATAATTTTGAGAAAAGAACCCTAACGACCCTGAGTTTGGAGAACTGAAGATTTTGACTGTTTTTTTGTCATAGTGTCTTTTCAGAGTGATTAAGAGGGAGGAAAAGATTTCAAAGGAGTGTATTTTCCAGAAATAATTGAGTATTATTAGAGCGACAGTTGAATATGTCAACCTAAACTCTCTAGCTATGGGTCCGGGAAAAAATGCAACCAATCAATCTTCTCACCAGTCTTGCCATCCAGACAACAGAGAACTGAGGCAAGTATATACCAGCCCCTTACCTCTTTACCAAAACTGAATCTTGTGGGAGCTCATCTCATTTAGTGTAATTAAAACAATAAAAGATTCCTCAAGGTGGATGAATAATACACAAAAGCGGGGAGGGGTGTCATATAACCATCTGAATATTTATAAAAAGTAAACACCTCTAAAAATATTCTACTGTTGTAACCAGAAAAGAAGTTTCAGGAAGCCATTTGCCATTCCGAAAAGAAAACGCAAGGAAATGTGGCATGTATGAAATAAGAATGAAAATCCATGAGTTGATATTACACTGAAATGAAGATATGTTGATATAAAATAAATCACAAATAACTTAAAAATTATAATTTTCTGGGAAGATTCTTCAAGGTAGAATTGATAACAAATATATATTGGATAGCTACAAAGGCAGAAATGATACAAACAGCCATTCAATAGAAAATTACAATTAAGGGTGATTTTAATTGCGTACCGTATATTTGTATTAAATACATAAAATATTATACTCCTCACTGATTGTAATAGGAAATACGCCTTGTCCCAAATTTTCTGAGCACACAACTTTACAATGCTCCATTTTCTTCTGTTTATCTCCTAAACATGACATTAATGTTTCTATAAGTAATTAGATCAAGTTTTAGATTAGTATAAAAATGCTAAATTCCTTTGTAGGTGGATTGCTCAATTCTAAATCTTATCATCATTGTGTGGGAATGTCTTCTTCATATTAATCTCATTTTAATTTGCATTTCATTGATGTTTAGAATTATTTCTTAAATGCATATATATATGGGTTTTTTTCTTCTCAGTATATAGCGTACTCTTTCTCCATTTTCTTGCTGATTTGTAAGATTGGTTTAGGTACTGCACTCTTATCTGCCTTGTACTTTGCACACTTTTATTTGCTTTTAATTGTATTTATGATTTAAATTCTATGAACATTAGTTTTATCAAAGAATAATGAAGGCAGGTTATAAAAACAATTGAAAAATGCTTGATTATATTACTTAGATCAAAAGAAGGGATTATAAAGTAAAATATTAGAACAAAGATATCCCAAGGAATGGTTTTAGGAAAGTAATTATGGTACAATAACTCAATTATATAACATGTATAAACAGAAATATCGAAAACTTATTTGAAGATTATTAGAAATATCAAAATTTAAAAGACAGTTAATAATAATAATTTATAGAAAAAGGAAAGACAAAACACTAAATTTTAATATTGCAAATTTAATATCCCAAATTACATCACCACTGAGGAAGTTTTACAATTTTAAAATACTGAAATCAGTTGAAGCTTTGATAAGCCATCAAATAGAATAGAGTAGTGAATTTTTTAACATCTTTGAGACTAATTGGCATATAATCAACTGCATATATTTAAAGCATACATTCTATAAGTTTTGACATATGTATACACTTACGATCTCAATCAAGGTAGTGAACATATCTATTACTCTCAAAAGTATCCTCCAACCCCTTGGTAATCTCCCCTTCCCTCCCCTCAACTCCTGTCCACAGGCTACATCTGCACTATGGATGTATTGTATTTACTACAATTTTATATAAACAGAATCACACAATATGTACCTTTTCTTGTCTGGCTTTCTTCACTTTGCGTACTTATGTAGATATGTATCCATGTTGTTGTATGTATTAATAGTTACTGTTTTTTAGGGCTTAATAGTATTTCATTGCCTAGATACACCACAATTTGTTTATTCATTCATCTATTAATGGGTATTATTTACAGTTTTAGACTATTTCAAATAAAGCTTCTATAAACATTTGTGTCATAGCATTTATATGAACACATGTTTTTATTCCTCTGAGTTAATAACCTTGAGTAAAATGACTTATCACAGGGCAGATGAACATTTAACTCTAAGAAGTAGCCAAACTTTTTCAAAGTGGTTGCACCCTTTTACCTGGCACCAGTACTATAGGTGAGTTCAAATTCCACCATATCTTTGCCAACACCTGATACAATCAATCTTTTTCATTTTAAACATTCTAGTAAGTACAAAATGATAAATCTCATTGTGGTTTGAATGTGCATTTTACTAATAACTAATATAAAGAAGCTTTTTTGTATTCATTTACTATTTATATATTTTCTTTATTAAAGTGTTCATTGCTGTCTTTTACCTACTTTTTAATTTGTTTGTTTTATTATTTACTTATAGGATATTTTTATGTAATCTTTATTTTGAAATTATTTTCAAATTATATATCTGATAAAGGATATATAATTTGAAGACATTTTCTTTCAGTCTCTGTGGCTTCTTTTATTTTCATTTGCTAAACATAGTCTTTAAAATAGTAGAGTTTTTAATTTTAATGAAGACAAATTCATCAATGTTTATTTTATGAATCTTACTTTTGGTGTTATATCTAACACATTTTTGCCACAGTAAATGTCACAAAGATAGTCTCTTATTATTTCTTTTAGAAGTTTTGTACTTTTAGGACAACAGTTCATTTTGAATTAATTTTTGTGTGTGATGCAATACATAGATCAAAATTCACTTTTTGCATATTAATATCCAATTATTCCACTGCCATTTGTTGAAAAGCCTATTCTTTCACCAATTAATTGCTTTTAAACTTTTGAAAGTCAGTTGTTCATGTGTATGTTAATCTCTTTCTGGACCTTCTATTCTGGTTCGTTAATCTATTTCTCTCTCTCTCTCTCCCTCTCTCTCTTTCTCTCTCTCTCCCTCCCTCCCTCCCTGTCTTTTATAGAGACAGGGTCTTGCTCTGTCAGCTAGGCTGAAGTGCAGTGGTGAAATTATAGCTCACTGCAGCCTCGAACTCCTGGGCTCAAGTGATCATCCCACCTGGGCCTCCCAAAGCACTGGGATTACAGGTGTGAGCCACAATGCCCAGCATCTATTTGTCTGTCTTTAAGACAATGCAAAACGTTCTTAGTGACTACAGCCCTTTATAAGTCTTGCAATTAGAGAGGCTTAGTCCTCCAACAGTTTCGTGTTTATTTGTTTTTCAGATACTTTGACTAGGCTAGGTTCTTTATATTTCCATATGAATATTAGACTAGGCTTTCCAGTTTCTACAAACTGTCTGCTTGATTGTAATTTTGGATTGTATTGAATCTATGAATCTTTTTGTGGGAAATTAATATCTTAATCACTATGGGGGATATTTACAATTTGCTTATCTGTTTAGGTATGGCCCATTCACTTATTTATTCAACATTTACTTGATAAGCAACTTTGCTTTTGTTAGGCATTGCTCAGGGAAACCAGCATGTACTCGTGAATGAAAGAGACAGAAATCCTATCTTTGTGGACTTCCATTCTAGCTGGGAAAGTAGGAGTGAAGGTAGGGATAAGAACTAATAGTAAACATTATAAATAAGGAAGTATATAGTATATTAGAAAAATGATAAATGCTGTGGCAAAAAGCTGAACATGTAAGGGAGATAAATGATTGAGGTCACTGGTGGGTGAAGACTGTAATGCATGGTTAGGAAGACTTCATTTTCAAAAGTGTCATTTGGGTAAAAAACTTGAAAGAGGTGACACAGTCATGGAAGTATCTTGGAAAAGAGTTTTCCAGGTAGAAAGGAAAGCCAGCACTTAGTGGGAGTGTGCAAGTGTGTTTGAGTAAAAGCAAAGCTTTTATTCAAAAAGTGTCCAATGTGGTAAGGTTAGAGAGAAGAGGGCATCTCTCCAGACCATGTGAGTCATTTAAGGACTTCAGCTTTTACTGAATGAAACTGGGAGTTGTTGAAGGGGTGAAATGCAGTAAGCTAAAAATAAGAGTAATTTGAGAAGCAAAATAAGTAAAAACAAGACAGGGTAGGGGTGTGTAGTTAAGAATAAAAAAGAGGTAAGGATGGCTCCCAAATTCACATCCACACTTGGGTGATGATCAGCAATGATTCTGACAAAACTCAGATGGAGAAAAACAAAAACGTTTTAGGTGTCATGATTATATAAAGATATAAATAGATGATATAGATACACATATGCATGTACGTAGATATATCAATAAGGGATGTATCCCAGATGAAGCCAAGCTTTATAAAACCAAGGTACAAATTCCAAATAAAGAAAAATTAATGGAATATTAATATTAATGGAAAATTAATGTGTCTGAAATTGTGTTCAGAATCTAGCTAATTTTACTAATGCCTCGTACATATTGTTACTATGATTGAATAGAAGGATTAAAAAACAAACAGCAAAAGTGTTGCGGAGTAACAGTTCGTCAGCACTGATGTTCTGCTCATTTGAATTCAAATTTGCTAGGCTGGTTGTGTGAAAAGAATCAATGAGGAACAGAGATGTGCCACCCAGTGAACTGATGGGAGGCAAGTGCCTTGAAAGATAAGTCAGTGACTTACTGGGGCATGATCTGGAGCAATGCATTGTGCTTTGGAAAAACAGGAGTTGCAGTTGAGAGAACATGGAGTTGGGAGGCAATCGACCACAGAGTTAATTTATTTTAGCAAAATCTTTGTGTTTTGTGAAGAGTCCAAAAAAAAATGGCATTATGCTCAAAAATAGGCCATGTAACTGGAAACCCAAGACTGTAATCATAGAAAATAATCTCTCAGCACAGCATTTTGGAAGTGACTCTGGGTTAATGACAGTAGCAACACTATTAGCCCATCTGCATACATAAGCAGAAGTGTTTCGCAGAAAAAAGATCTCAAATTCTGATGTTACATTCATACAGTTAGTTTTCCATACTATGAACAGATTTGCCATTCAATAAGTAAATATGTATCATTTTCAATGTGGGAAGCTTTAAGGTGAATAAAAATGGTACGGATATAGTGTTTCCTGCTGGCATAAAATGCAAAATTGAGGTGATTTTCCTTCCATGTGTAATGTAATCAGTATGATTTTAAATATTTTGGCATTTACATTTATGTTGTTCAAATTTACTACTGGTGTATCCTGATTGACACTAAGCTATCAAACTTCTGCAGTTAAAGATTTTACTGCTGTGTGTGAGAAGTCTCAAAATAGGTAATGTAATTCTCCAAATCTAGCCAAGGAAATTATTCTTTGGATAAAATGTGTATCATAAATGCATTTTAAAAGATGCTTTCTAGTTATGTAGAAAGAAGGAAATTCAGAAATTAGATATGGAGATAGTTTATAGTTCAGTTTTTTTTTAGTTTGTGTACAAATGAAACTACAGGGCTCAGAAAAAGCATGTAAACAATAGTCCCACATATCATTCAGTGTGGCTCTAATAATTCAAAGGCTACATAATTGCAAAAATACAACTATAAATTTGTATTATGATCCTAACTTTAAAAAAATTCCTGAAACTCAGAGCTTATATACCCAAGAATACCAGCAGAATTTATTGTACAAACAACCCATTTGTACTTGACAAACACTGAATTGAAAAGGGGTTCACTTTCCTGGACAATTTTTAAGTTGTGTCAAGTCTGAGAAAAACAGCAGCACATAAAAGGATCATATCTAACAGTTGATGTGTGGATCTGTTTTATTTTATACCAGTGGAAACTAATCAGAATACTTACACTAGTGAAATAGACCAAAATAAAAAGCAGAGGAAAGCTAGATGAACATATAGATACTGAAATTTTAGGAAAATATTTCTAGTCATCTCAGACATGTTATTCTGTTTGTAAATGAAAGGAAGAGCTATTTGATAGGTGGATGATATTTAAACTTTTCTAATAAACTTTTTATTGTGTTGAAAAGTGCAAAAGTTATTTTCTCTCAAATTAATAATCTTAGAGAGTTAAAAATATGTATGTATTTTTAAAATCTAGTATTTCTGGATGTCAGAAATGCTGATTCTTCAGGAATGTAAGTGGGAAAGTTTAGTCTTGACTCTTCTGAGGGGAGTAAATCATAATTATTAGGCTGAAAAAGGATCTAACATAGTGTTATTCCAAGTGTGTTTCACAGACCAATGGTGGTATGCACAACGACACAATTGAAACCCATCTGCAAGCTGAATTCAGAAATTAAGAGTACATACTTCACATACTTTAACAATTTGACATTATTGTGGCATCAAGGTATGTTTTAAATTTCAGTCAACATGGTTTGAAGTTTAAGTTTTGAACAGAAGTAACTTCTAATGACAGAAAAACATTTCAGAGTAGAAACTCAGATTAAAAAGACTCTAGCAGATGGAAATCAACCCATTACTTCTTTCATCAAGAAAGTCTGATGAATGTCAGCTCTACTAAACAGTATGTTTCATAGCACAGTAAAACTTGGGATTTACGTAAGGCCTAATACATTAAACTAAAAATTATCCTCTTTATTATATGATAACATATAAGCTGCTTATAAATAACTGTCATGGCATGCTCAAGAAAAAAGTTTGGTGGAGGATGTTTGAATCATGAAACAAATTTAGCATATCTAAATATGAGTTTCAATTTTGTTCAAATTGTTAAATATGTGAATTGTTCTGGAACACTTATTTGTCTGATGTCTTAGGAATTTTAAAAATTATTTTAATATACCTACACAAAGAATGAATGCATCAAAATTATCATTAATGGTAGAAAGGACTGAAGAACTAAAACCAAAGTTAGATTTTTGGATGAACAGAGATTCTGTATAATTATCAGTGAAGTAGGTGATGGACATGGAATGGATGATATTGAAGCTTATAAAAGATATCACAGACGACTTGCAAATTTAAAAATATATTATTTTATCAAAAGAAGATCCAAACATGAAATTATAGATCCAAAATTATTTTCACTCAACTAAAGGTAATTTAAATTTAAATAAGGTTTTAAAGGATAAATTGTTGGAAACAACTAGTGATAGAGGATTTAAGATGCATTTGGAAAATACAGCATCACTTGCCTTATTGGATAAAAAACAATAAATATCCTGAGATTGCTGAGATTGCCTTAAAATCTCTTTTTTCATTCCCATTGATACACCATTGCAAGATGAATGCTCTATTATGAATGCTATTAAAACAACACATAAAAAAAGTTTAGATTATATAAGTTAACAAGTAAGAAGAGACTATTTGGTCACATTTAAAACTTTACACTTTAATATATATGATGCTCACTCCAATTATTCATATAGGAATTTAATGGGGGAATTGCTATTTCCTTTATAAATTTTTCTTTAGTTAACAATTGTGGAACAACAGAGTTACAAGTGTGTAAAAGTGATTATGTGTGTTAATCATTTCTAAGAATACTTTCAATTAAAAATCTGTAGTTTCTATAGTCCTCTTTTTCCTATATTTTAGCTGTATTAATTATGTTTACTAAATTGTTATTGAATCTTTTTTTTTTTTTGAGATAGAGTCTCGCTTTGATGCCCAGGATGGAATGAAGTGGTGTGATCTCAGCTCACTGCAACCTCACCTCCCAGGTTCAAGCAATTCTCCTGCCTCAGTCTCCTGAGTAGCGGAGACCACAGGCATGTACCACAATGTCTGGCTAATTTTTTTGTATTTTTAGTAGAGATGGGATTTCACTATGTTGGCCAGGCTGGTCCCGAACTCCTGGCCTTAAGTGATCCGCCCACCTCGGCCTCTCAAAGTGCTGGGATTACAGGTGTGAGTCACCACACCCAGCCTATATGAGTGTTGAATCGAATAGTAAATGCGTGTGGATAGTGTAGGAGGGTGTGCTAATGAAAGAACAATAATGGTGATGTTTGTGGTAACAGAACTTTCCTGTATCTTAACTGTGGTGAAAAAAATGAACCTACACATGTGATAAATTTACACTGAACTGAATACAACACACACATACAAACACAAGTACATGTAAGTTTGATGTAATCTGAAAAAGCTTGACAGACAGTATCAATGTAAATTTCCTGGTTTTGATTTCATACTCTACTATACTATTACCAGATGTTACCACTGAGTGAAGGGTAACCTCTAAATTGTTTCTCTAGTTGTATGTAAATCTACTACAACTAGATTTATGTATGTAAATAACTTTGTTTAAAAGTCATTTAAATCTCAAAATAAGTCATTTTAAACAATAGTTTAAGGATGAAAGCAATTCAGGAAACTACCACAAGGGGAGAGGTTTGGGAGGTGGTAGAATCAGTGGTGATGAACAGGAATGTAATCATAGCCACAGATTCCCATTGTGCCACCTACTTCTAGCAAAGACTCCTTGTAATTCAGCAAGAGCATGAGAACCCAGTCTAGAGCTGTTAGAAATTGTGGAAAAACATTCTCTTTCTGGACAAACTCTTCCGGTTAAAAGTAATTTACATGTTAAAAATAACACAACCATTGCAAATCAGAGCATTAGTATTAAAAATGTTCTAGCCAGTTTATTTTTTATAAGCCTCTGTAAGTTGTAGAATACTTGATTCGTATTGTTACTTGTCTGATTTGATGTATCTTATGCTCAAGCAACCTCTTACTTTCTTGATGAGAGAAGTGCCTTTGATAAATTCTATTTGTAACATCTCTAACAAGGCCCTTAAAGTTTTATTGATCAATTAAAGAATGCCTTATTTCTAGTAGTAAGAAAATATTTTGTTAAAATTATGCCATAAAATAAAAGTGCTCTTACATGTAAAAGCATTATAAGAGTGAATCAAAATGAATTTCCTATCTTTCATTGCAAATAACAGTTTACCACTTCAATTAGAACTACCAATTTAACTTATGGTGCACAAAATTATGTAATAAATTTAATGACTGAAACAGTTCACATGCACAGAAAAGAAAAAGTTGTCTTGAACCTTGGCTTAAATGAAAAAGGCCATATAACAAGATAATAATTTTAGGATTGGATAAGTCACAATATGGGGGGGGCAATTTAAGTTACTTCAATTTGTCCGTAAATATGTGTGAGATTTTGTTTTAAGTGACAACAATGCCTTTGACATTTCTCTTATCTAGAGGGGGAGACAATGCCTTCCTCTTGAATCTGTATGGACTGTGACTATTTCGACCAAGAGCTCACAGAGGAAAATAAAATTATACAACTTCCTAGGCTAGGTCATAAAAGAAATGCAGCTTCCTCCCTACCTGCTGGACCACTCACACTGGAGCCACCATACAAAAAATTCAACTAATCTAACGCTACCTTCCTGTGAGCCACCATATGGAAAGGCCATATGTAGGCTCTCTAGTGGACCACTCCTGCTGAAGGCCCAGCCAACAACCAGCATCACCTGCCAATCATGTGAGTGAGCTGCATTGGACCCCCAACCTGGTCAGGCCTGAAAATAACTGCAGGTACAGCCAACAGCTGGACCCTTTTCAAATCTTTGGCTCACAAAACTTTAGGGAAATAATGGTTATAATCATTAACTGGTTATGTTACTAATTTCAAGAGTAATTTGTTACACAGGATTAGTAATTTAGCCCAGTAAGTATAAAATGATCATTGTATAGCAGAAAAAGAAGTTTTATTACTTCTTTTGAAGTTTTATTACTTCTTTTTCTGCTCAAGGAAAACGTAACGGAGTTTTGTTTGCCTTTTATATTTTACTTTGTTATCTGTCTAGCTGATTATCATTTTATACTTACTGGACTAAATTACTAATCCTGTGTAACAAATTATGGAGTATAAATTTTATAAATTGCAATCTGACCACAAGGAAATGTATGGTGCAAGTATTTGTAGGGTGCAGAATTCCATCTTCCAAATAAGGTTATAAGATCGAAAAAGGTTAAAATGAAAATACAAAGAGGGTGAGTCTTTAAAGTTATCCAGGGAACACTTCATTCGCTGGATCAAAAATTTAACTACAGGCCAGGCGTGGTGGCTCACGCCTGTAATTGCAGCACTTTGGGAGGCCAAGGCAGGTGGATCACAAGGTCAGGAGATCGAGACCATCCTGGCTAACATGGTGAAACCCCGTCTCTATTAAAAAATACAAAAAATTAGCCGGGCGTGGTGGCGGGCGCCTGTAGTCCCAGCTACTCGGGAGGCTGAGGCAGGAGAATGGCGTGCACCCGGGAGGCAGAGCTGGCAGTGAGCTGAGATCGCACCACTGCACTCCAGCCTGGGCGACAGAGCAAGACTCCATCTCAAAAAAAAATAATAATAATAATTTAACTACAAAATCCAAGCTAAAGAGCATGACTTTTAAAGTTTCACTTTCCCTGGTTTCCTTCAATACAGACATAATTATTTCCCAAAACAGCCATTATTTTTGTTTATTTACATTATAATTTTACATATTTACAGGGTACACGTAAAATTTTGTTATATGCATAGAATGTATAATGATCAGGTCAGGGTATTTAAGGTATCCATCACCTGAGTATTTATCATTTCTATGTGTTGGGTACATTTCAGGTCCTCTCCTTCAGCTAGTTTGAAAACTACATTGTGGTTAACTATAGTCATGCCACGCTGCTAACAAACATTTGAACGAATTCCTTTTACGTAAATGAGTGTTGGTACCCATTAACCATTTTAACCTCTAGCTCCAGTGGAATCATCCGATAATCAAACCCAGATCCCATATGCCTGTCCAGAATCTTGGGCCATTACCCAAATTGGAATTGTCTTGGAACTAAGTTTGAGACCAAAAAACTTCAGCCAGTTTTAGATCTTAATTCCAATCCTTTTATTTGTATGAGGGGACTTCAGAAAGTTCATGGAAATTTTTAATTTAAAGATAAAAATAAAAAATATAAATTTTATCTCTCAATATAAGCTCCATCAAGTTTAAGACACTTTTATAAGCAGTTGATACCAGTTCATCCTTGGAACGGAGAGTCCTGCAATTTAACCATGTCAATGCAGTCTTTTTTACATTATTAACTGAAGAAAAATGGGTGCCCTTTAAAGTTTTTTTCAGATTAGGAAACAAAAAGAAGGCAGAAGGAAACAAGTCAGGACCATAAGGTGAATGCCTAATGATTTCCCATCGAAACTCTCACAAAAATGCCCTTGTTTAATGAGAGGAATGAGCAGGAGCATTGTCATGCTGGAGAAAGACTCTCTGGTGAAGATTCCCCAGGTATTTTCTGCTAAAGCTTTGGCTAACTTTCTCAAAACACTCTCATAATAAGCAGATGCTACTGTTTTTTGGCCCTGCAGATAGTCAACAAGCAAAATGCCTTGAGTATCTCAAAAAACTGTTGTCATGATCTTTGTTCCTGGCTGGTCTGCTTTCACTTTGACTGGACCACTTCCACCTCTTAGTAGCTATTGCTTTGACTGTCTTTTATCATTAGGATTATACCAGCAAAGCCATGTTTTATGCCCTGTTACAATTCCCTGAAGAAATGTTTTAGGTTCTTGATCCCACTTGTTTAAAATTTCCCTTGAAAGCTCAGTTCTTCTCTGCAACTGATCTGAGTGCAATGGTTTTGGCATCCATCAAGTGGAAAGCTGGTTCAATTTTTTTTTTTTTTTTTTTGAGACAGAGTCTTGCTCTGTCGCCCAGGCTAGAGTGCAGTGGCACAATCTCAGCTCCACTGCAAGCTCCGCCTCCCGGGTTCACGCCATTCTCCTGCCTCAATCTCCGAAGTACCTGGACTACACAGGCGCCCGCCACCACACCCGGCTAATTTTTTTGTATTTTTAGTAGAGACGGGGTTTCACAATGTTAGCTAGGATGGTCTCGATCTCCTGACCTTGTGATCCGCCCACCTCGGCCTCCCAAAGTGCTGGGATTACAGGCGTGAGCCACTGCACCCGGCCAAGTTGGTTCAATTTTTCAGTCAGAATTGTGTAAACTGAGCCCACTGAGATGTCGATGGTGTTGGCTCTTGTTTCTGCTAATCGTCAGTGCTCTTCAATTAGGACGCAAACAGGATGAATTTTTTTCCTCGTAAATTGAAGTGTATGGTCTGCCATTGCAGGCTTCATATTCATCATTTTCTCATCCCTCTGAAAATGTGCTATCCATTTGTAAACTACTGATTTCTTTGAGGGACTTGTCCCCACAAACTTTTTATCAATAATGTCACCATCCTTTGACCCAAGCTTCACTATAATTTGATGTTTGTTCTTGCTTCAATTTTAACAGAATTCATGTTGCTTTGATATGGGTTCTTTTCAAACTGATGACATACCCTTCTTAGTGCCTCAAACTCAATCCTGTTCAGACATGTTATCACAGTTAGTATCAGTTTATTTTGGTGCAAGATCATTTATAAGTTCATGCCTAGTTTTTTCATAATATGCATTTTCCATGAACTTTTTGAAGACCCCTTGTATGACTGATTGGTTTGTAATAATTGGAAGACATAGAAGTAAATACAAAAACATGAAGCAAATCAGAAAATTAGTACTGTGCTTATGTGAAGCTTAAAGGTCAGTTTTCTATGTATGGTGATAATTTTTGTGTTCACATTTAAGTATTTGAAATACTTAGAATGTCTGATGTATTTAAGGGCCAATCATATTAGGCCTCTGACAATTTTAACTGTATAAGACAATTATCTTGAGTTTTCAAACTGTGCTTGGGTTTACACATAATATGAATTATTGTATCTAAAAATATTTACATTTATTAATTTGTAAGTGGAGTTTAAGTGCATGGGTAGATTTTGTTATATTTGTGAATCTGTCTTCTTGATATTTAAAATTCTAAGAGATTTAGTTATATGAACTTTGTGACTAT